>NC_000004.12:158012290-158315320 GCF_000001405.40 Homo sapiens
AAAGCTTTCATGCATACTGTGAACTGCACACTTCAGTTCACAGAAGAGATTTAATTAGAATATGTTGATGATGAGCAGTCCATCTTTTTCATGTAGTATAATTTATTAGACATAAAGGTGGCATTATTTATACTGTTCAACCATACTTACATATATGCAAATATGAATTTAATTTGATTGTCTTGTTTAACCCTTGAAAAGCACTGAAGCCATCAATAGACAACCTTTAAGATGCTTCAGGGGAAGAGATACTTTTCCCAATAAATGTTATTGCCCTTCTGTCATTAGTAATTAGTATTTTAGCTTCATAGCTTGTTCTTTTGTCTAATATATTTCTGTAAATCTTTCATTCTCTAGCCAATCAATCAGAAGAAATTTTTAAGAGTTGATGGATGGTATGTGTGTGTGTGTGTTTTCACATAAATCAAAGTTGTACAGCAAGTTTGATTGTCATGCTGAGCTTGTCAAAATTAATCTAAGATTTATCATAAAGAAAAAAATGATTTTTTTCTGTTATATAGTTTGTGAGTTAACATAGAATGGTGGAGTAAGTAGCCTTTAGAATATACTTCCAATTCAATTAGTCCTAAGGTTTATATTACATTAAAGTAAAAATTCTCTGGACACAAACAAATATTAAGAATATATATAGTATTCTGAAAAATATGTTAATAAACTTCATTTTAATTTTATTAAATAGCACATTTTCTGTTACTTAATATTATTTAGAGAAGCAGGAGAATGAGAGCAATGAACACATGTCAGATGAGCAAGTAGAGAGGAAATTAAAGGACTAAAGGCATTGTTTCTGAAAATAAAAAAACCAGGCTATGGTCATACTGCCCTGAATGCGCCCAAACTCATCTGAAAACAAACAAACAAAAAAAAACAAACAAACTTTAAAACCAAATTTTAATATACGATAATAAAATTTAAAAAACAGAGAGAAAAAATCCATAATGTTCTCAATGGATGGTGAACAAAATGAAAACATGGTTTGATTTAGTTTGGTTTTTGTAAGAAAATGGAGTAAATTTTTCATCCAAACTCCAAATTCAATTTTGTTTAAATGTCTCTGATCTGTCCTTTAAAATGGGTGATTTCACTCAGTCTCTTAAAACACAAACACGCACAGAGCAGGAGCAACACCCCTACTCTGCAGTTGGGTAGTTGTTCTCCAGATTCTAAAAACAACAGCAAAAACAAGTTATATGAGGCCTGTTCATGTATATTACCTGATTTGGTCCTGCTGAATATAGAAGAGGCTATCTTTGCTTTGAACAAATGACACATTTTGTGATTCATTTTTAGAGCCTAGGAGAGGAAATAGACAGCAGTTGCTTTGAAACAGAGAAAGAAGACAGCCCACTCCTAAGAAATAAACCAAAGATCTCTAGAAAGTGCCACTGGGGTTGGGTTGACAAGGAAGTTAATGATAAGTGACAATAAAAACAACAATTAAAAACCTGAATTTATCCTAAGCATTTATTTCTTTTAAAAGACACTCTAACATCTTTTATTGTTTTAATTGAAGAGCTATATAATTTTCCTATTTAAATCTATTTTATTTCTCTTGCCTATTCACAAGCTCAAACAGAAGTCTTCTCCTTTTGCTATGTGTTTTTTTCTCCTTTACAAATTGGACTTCTTTATTACCAGCACAAAGCTTTAAAAATCCACATAGACCAGAGTGACCACTTGACTCATTTTTCAGAGATAACAACACTAAGCTCTTTTTATTTTTCTTTAGTTGCACTGGTGATTATCATAGATCACATTGCTTGATAGATACATAAGGCATGAAAATTGTTGGCCACAATGTACTAGGGAATGGTAAGGAAGATACTCTGAGTCATAACTAAACCATGGGGTTTAATATTTTGTTTCATTAATTTAACAAATATATAGTGCATGCTATTCTACTAAGTATATACAGTTCCAGGAACTGAGAATACAGTAATAGTTATTGTTTATACAGTAATGAGGAAAAACTTAAAACATATAATTAATAAATGCTATATGGGACCAGGTGCAATGGCTCATGCCTGTAATCACAGCACTTTGGGAGGCCAAAGCAGGCACATCACTCGAGGTCAGGAGTTCGAGACGAGCCTGGCCAACACGGTGAAACTCCATCACTACTAAAAAAAAAACGAAAATTAGCCAGGTGTGGTGGCATATGCCTGTAATCCCAAGTTACTTGGGAGGCTGAGGCAGAAGAATTGCTTGAACCCAGGATGAGGAGGTTGCAGTGAGCCAAGATTATGCCACTGCACTCCAGCCTGGGTGACAGAGCAAGACTGTCTCAAAAATAAAAAAATAAAAAAATAAAACTCTGCATGGTCTGTCTCATAATACCACTAGAAATAGTCCTAAATTGTGAATTAACTATTTTAATAGATTTGCTTTTAAAGCTGAAACATATGAAACTTATAAAAGACAATAAAATCACATATGTACTGTTTTTATTTATTTACATATCTAGTTCTCCTATCACTAGACTAAGTTTTAATCCCCAGTAACTACCTTTGCAAAGCATAAAATAATCAAATACATATTCATTTAATCATTGGATTTAATTATAATCCCAAAATATTAACTTAGAAAACATAAAACTGTCAAACCTCAAGTATCCTCAATGTTAAAGCTTTTATTTTACTTTGAATTTCTTAAAACAGGTTCAACTTTCCCAATGCCACTTGGTTAGCAATTGGCAGAAATAAATAGAAATTTGGCTCTGCTCAGAACACATCCTTTTCATTGAAACTTTTTTTTCTATCAAGGCTTTTAGTTGAATTTTTTTCAAAGTGCCACAAATATAAAAGAGAATTAGCACTATATTTTAAATATAAAGCAATACAAATAAATAAAATTGGGTTGACTATTGATTAAACAACATTTCCAGTACCTTCTAAAACTTATTTTCTTGTGACATAACTTTTCTTCTGAAAGATTAATGCTAGCTAGAGATAGCTAGTTGTTTGCCAAACACTAGGTCGAGTTGGGTATTTCTGTGTACCGAAGGGTAGAGTTGCTCTGGAAACTGGCTTCTCTCACAGCCTTGCATGAAATTAGGGTCAGATGATTGGGTTCTGGCCAAGAGAATGTGAATGAAAGTGACATGAACTAGGACTTTTCAAACTTTCGTTTTCATAAAGACCACCTGAGAAACTAGTTAAACCATCTATTCCTGAACTCTACCAACAGTTTCTAATTCAGTAGGGCTGGAAAAAGGCTGGTTTGTGGGTAATGCTGATGCTATCTGCCCATGACTCACACACTGATATACATGACTACTACTTTGCCCATATCCAGTAAAAAAAAGAGATATTTTTAATAATATCATTATTTCTATGTTATGAACGAACAAAAAAGTAACCATCTATTTACAAGTAGATAACAACTGGTTATATTCTCTACCATCAATTTTTGTTGTGGACAATTACAAATTCCATTTATTTGTTTGTTTGTATGTTTTGGACAATTACAAATTCCATTTATTTGTTTGTCTGTTTGTTTGTGTTTGAGACAGAGTCTCACTCTTGTCACCCAGGCTGGAGTGTAGTGGCACCATCTCAGCTCACTGCAACCTCCACCTCCCAGTTACAAGTTATTCTCCTGCCTCAGCTTCCCAAGTAGTTGGGATTACAGGCACATGACACCATGCCCGGCCAATTTTTGTATTTTTATTACAGACGGGGTTTCACCATGTTGACCAGGCTGGTCTCGAATTCCTGACTTCAAGTGATCTGCCTGCCTCAGCCTCCCAAAGTGCTGGGATTACAGGCATGAGCCACTGCACCCGGCCACAAATTCGGTTTTTAATACACATATTGCAAAGGTAGAAAATCCTATTCCAACCAGGGGATAGTTATATGAAAAAAAAGTTGGCAGAAGAGTAAGAACTATGAATTTAAGACATCATTTGTTGTCTCTGTATTATTCCCAAGAAATCATAGCCAAAAGAAAGAAAAAATGATGCAAAGTGAAAAAAACACTAGCACATATTTTATCCTTAGAAGATCTCTACTGACCACCATGATGGTGGTAATTACTTTATGATGTAAACTACAACAATTAAGCTATTCCTAGCACACTTATTATGAGCTTCAGAAAATCACAAGGATGCAAACACAACTAAACTACATTAATGTGGACTCTCTTTTCAGCATAAAAACAAGATGTTCTACGGGTATGCCAGGAAAAGGTTTTTGGCTTAGGCAACTCCTTCCAGAAACAGTTACTCTATCCTTCAGTCCACTTTTTAGTTTACTTATAACCTTCTCACAGCTCAATAGCTTCCCTCTTCACCTTCATCTTTTCACCTCTGGCACAATGTGGAAACAGCTCATCCAATGCCTAACTCAGTCTCCATGGTTTCAACCCATTATTTCAACATCCTTATAAAAACATTCTTAGTACTCCTGGAGTAAAATTTTATTTCACAATATGTCTGCTATTTATGATCCCCCTATATCTGCTTAAGCCTGTAATCTTTCAAAGCAAGCACCTTCAGATAGCTTCCCGTTATTAACTTGAGATCAAGGATTAGTCTCCACTGTATAGTAATTATTCAAGGTGGACAATGAAGGTTTTTGTTTTTCTTGCCCTACCACAGAGCTGAGAACTCTACCCAAAAATTATGTCATCATTTTTTCCTGCATTTGTAGTAGGCATTAGCATCATTTGGTGAATGGGATGCTTGATGTAAAAAGTAGTTACAACTTGCCTAATAACACAGTCAACATTTTTAGGAAAGTTAACATTAGAATGGAAGACTCACAAACCCAATATATGTATATATTGTATATGTACATATATTGCGTATATGTATATATTGTATATGTACATATATTGTGTATATGTACTAACATATACACAATATATGTATATATTGTATATGTACATATATTGTGTATATGTACTAACATATACACAATATATGTATATATTGTATATGTACATATATTGTGTATATGTACTAACATATGTATATGTATACATATATATTCTAAGCTATTTAACCTTTAGTAATAATTATATTGTAAAAATTAAAATGGCCCCAGAACACCCAGATCTGTGTTTGCAATAAATGAAAAATTGACAAATTATTTATATTTCATTATCTCTCTCGATTATATATTCCATGTGGCAGGCACCACACATATCATTCATCAATCACAATAATACAGTGCAGCATGGTACGACGAATCTAAAAGGTGCTTGGTAAATATTAGTTAAATCAATGTTGAAAATATTAAGTAAAAATCATAAAGTATGCCTGAAGAAACCTCATTTATTCCTGGCTTTTTTTTTCTTTCACTTTTATTTTACTTCGTGTCGTGGTTAAGAGCACAGCTTCCAGAATCAGACTGCCTGGGTTATAAGTCATGGCTCCTCTATTGAGCAAGTTACTTAACTGCTTCGTTACTCAGTTTCCCCAGCTGTAAAAAAAGTATAACAATGCCACATAACTCAAATAAATTTATGAGAATTATATGAGAAAGTTCACATTGACCTCTTGGGTTAGTATTGTAATCAGTTAGTAATTGTTCACTATTATGAGACTTTTCACTTGATATTGGTAAACAGCTCTGTTTTTTAAATTTATGATAAATATACCAATCATACAGAGATATAAAGGATGGAAATTAGATCAGAGAATATCACAAAAATATGTTCATCATAAAATAAATAAAAATAATGGGTCTTTATATTTGAAATCATGTCTAGAACATTATCTAATACCCATCATTTCATTCTAATTAGGGCCTTATAGGTAAATAGAGTTTCTTGATATTCTATTGTTTTATTTCAAGACAGGAAAATAAAGATATGCCGCATTTTAAAGGTGCACAGTTGCTAATGAAGATACCTGAAATTCAGCTGTCAGCCCTCTGAACCATATATTAGATCAATTCGACAGTTTATTCAGTTAGTACCACTGGCAGAATTTCTCCATAATTCTTACCATATGTACTTTTTTCTGCATTTCACTTCCCTTTTTGCTCTTTTGCTCTCTCTCTTCAACTTTATCTACTTTTTGTTGCAATTGTTTTGGTGATTTTATTGTTATCATTGGTGGTGGTGCTGGTGATAGTGGTGGTTTTTGGAACAATTGCTTTTCCTTCCCTAGCTATCTCTTTATTTTTCTCTTTCCATGACCTAAGAAGCAAAAGTGCCCAGTAATACACAGGAGCCTTGCTTTGTTAGCAGAATTTGTCATTTGAACTATGTGACCTCTATAATCATTTGTTCTACAGATGCCTTCTTTAAAGACTCATTTCGGAACAAGAAAAGGCTTTCAGACATTCTCCAATGACTAGCAGCATTTGCCATCCATCTTTAAATGGGTAATTCCCCTGTCAAAGACCTAGTCTCCTAGATAATTATATGCAGAGAACTATTATTTATTTTCCCTGCCAATGCACTGGAATCATACCAAATAAATCATGTGCTGTGGTATTAAATGTTGGTGAAATAAATGAACATGAGGTTTTAGAGTGACATGTCTTGGGAGTCAAAAGTACCTATGAGCTAAGGCATTTATCTCACTTGTTCAGGAGCTGACATTGGGTTCAGTAATTGGAAATTCGCATCATAATATTACAAAGGACAAATATTCACCCATTTCCATTGAGATGGCTTCCTCTTTAAAAGAATTATTTAGAGAGATTTGCACTGCTCTCTTGATATTGATAGTTTATTCAGCTGTTGAACAATAACTTAGGTTTTTCCAGACCATCATTCTGCACATGTTAAAGAACTCCCAAACCACCAGGCTGGCTTAGATAAATATCAGACTCTGGATAACTTTGGTATCAAGGAATAATGTGAAAGATAATCCTCTTTTCCTAAAAAGATGGGATGGGGAGCTACTTTTGAAAATAAGGTTTAGAAATAACTATTTTACTGTGAGATATGTTTATATTATACTAATGTATGCAATAAGTAGCATACAATTTTATTTTAATCACTATATTATAATTCTATGAATCTTACATATAGAAAAAGAATAGTAATAAAATATTCTCATCTTGAAAATGAGATAGTGTATGGTGGTTTTTCACTTTTCTATATTTCCTACTATGAGTGTTAATTATTTTTATATTTAAAAAATGAAATTAAGGTTACTAAAAATATTTTAAATGTTAGGGCATAATACATAAAGTAACACTTTCTCCCTTGTATCTCTTTATTATCATTCAAGTTTTCTTGCTATTCTGTCTTAACCTGTACTGTTCCTTCAAGTAATAAACATCAAAGGATTACTGTATTAAAATTACTCGAATTAATATGCTTTATTGTAAAGTATAATTAGTGTCAAGTAATTGTATCACTAGCTCATGATGTAGCTCAAAATGTAAAACAGACACCAGGCTACCTGGAAAGCAGGGAACTCCAGCTCTGACATTACTAGCAGGGTCATCCTAGGCAAGTTACTTAACCCCTCTTTGTTTCATTTTCCTTACACATTACAGTGGGATAGTAGTAGAAACCACTTCACAGATTGTTGCAAGATTAAATGAGTTATTATGTGTAAACATTTAGAACAGAATCTCACACATATTAAGTTCTATATGTGTCGTATTATTCTAGATTTTGGTGGACTTCATATGAGCATGATAACTATATAAATAATAATCTTATATAATCATTTCCTCTGGGTGCTTCTCCAGTGCTCCTAATAAGTTTGATGCTAATCTTGTTCACTAAGTCTCAACTCCTATCACAATACCTGACACACGGTAGACACTCTCTATATATACGTGGAATGAATAAATCTATAATAACTATTACAGTCAAGATGCTGTGTCTAAAAATGAAATCTGATACATGAATATAGTCAGTCATCTGAAAATATCAAGGATACTCTCTTTTTGCTAAAACCAACAAGGAAGTATTTCAGTTGAATTATTTTTATAGGCCCTTATACTATTGTTTATCTATTTCAGTGAGAGTCTGTTATTCTTTAACAACCTTGCATTCTTTCTTGATGCAGAGCTTATGTTGAATCTTAGGACTGTGTTTTCTGAATGGGGTCAACATGTGTTTACCATCTGGCTTTACTGTGTGTTACTTTCAAAGTCCATACATTGAAATACAGTAGAAGCCTCTTTATACCACATAAAGCACTTCATGCTAAGTTCCATTGGCCTGGTCCCCTGACTATGAGTCATAGTCAGCTGGAACATTGCTTGAGAATAACTTTACAAGGCATTAAGAGAACAAAAGATTTTAATGACTGGCTCAAAATGGTCTGGAATTGTGAATGCTTTCAAGAATCCATTTATATGTTGTTTCATTAGGAGCATCTGATGATTAGGAGTATGTGAGGGGCATGTAACATTTTTTTAACTTGTTCAGACAAATTATAACAGAATATGATAGTAAGTTTCAAGCTCAAATTTGCCTGTTAATCATATTTAATCTTTCTTTGTAAACTTTATTTTCATAGCATTACTGTATTATGGAAAAGAAATAGAGTATGATATTTTAACCCTTGGATCAATCTCAGACTGTTGAGATCCTTTCAGTTCTGATTTAGTACAATTTCAGGATGTAGGAGGACATCTCAAAATATTTAAGTGGTTCTATAAGCCTGAGGCTGGAAATGAATCACAGAACCATTTTTCATCTTGTCAGTCGCCGACATCATGCTTAAGGAATTCTTACAGCAAAACAAATGCCTATTCAGAGAACGTTAGCCATTCTATTCCTTGATATTAAGTCAAAGCAGTAGTCTCTACAAAGAAGCTTTGAAAATATGCCACTTTGTAAAATGTAATATTAATCAGTATGTTCATTCCTCACAAAGATAACACTAAAATGATAGGAACGAATTTAACAACTCACACACCCTGGGCCAAAGAGGCATTAATCCAGAACTAAAAATATGTTAACATTATAAAGATATAACCTATCTGGATTTCATCTAGCGTAAAAAGAGTTGTAAATCTAAGAGGAGTGATTTTGATATATTATTGCTGATTTCTAGATACTCTGAGGAAAAGCTATAAGATTTAGAGGTAGACAAGCCCTGTTGATCACATCCAGTCCAGTTTTTCTTCAGCTTTAGCTGCACTTTAGGATTACCTGCGGAGCCTTTATAAATCTCTATGCTCAGGTCAAACCCTAACCCAATTAAATCAAACTCACTAGGAGTGGGAACCTAGATGTCAGTATTTTTTGAAAGCCCCCTAAGTTTTCCTATACAAAGTCAATCAAGGTTAAGAAGGTCAATCACGGCTCTAGTTAGAGTCTGGTGGTGTGGCCAAGAGTGTAGGAGCTATCTTTGGACATGTTGGTGAGAGGTGGGTGACTAAAGGCAGGGCTTACTATTAACATGCATTGGCACCTTCTTAAGTGCTTTACCTGTATTATCATGTTTAATCCATTCTAATGGGTAGAAACTGTTACTATCAGCACCGTTTGTACAGATGAGGAAACGAAGAGAAACATCATACAACTAAGAATGGTAGAAAGAAGATTCAATCCCAGGCATTTATTTATTTAACAATTACTTATTGTTTATATATTATACCAAATGCTGCGACTTGTTGGAGTGCCCACATGCTTCATGTAATAAACAAGGAGATGTATTCTACCAATAAACACCTAATGATCAGTATGGTTGGGCGCATTGGCTCATGCCTGTAATCCCAGCACTGTGGGAGGCCAAGGCGGGCAGATCACCCAAGGTCAGGAGTTTGAGACCAGCCTGGCCAACATAGGGAAACCCCGTCTCTACTAAAAAATACAAAAATTAGCCAGGCATGATGGCACACACCTGTAATCCCAGCCACCTGGGAGGCTGAGGCAGGAGAATCACTTGAACCCAGGAAGCAGGGCTGCAGTGAGCCGAGATCGTGCCACTGCCCTCCAGCCTAGTTGACAGAGCGAGACTTTGTATCAAAAAACAAAACAAAACAACAACAACAAAAACACCTAATTATCAGTTGCTGTTTTTACGTGTGTGTTGAAATCAAATGTAAAAAACATACTGTTAACCTCGGTAGTATTGTGGAAGAATTGATAATTCTAACATAGGTATAAAGATGACCGAATTTCTATCTCCATCAACTTATGTCTGGCTTTCAAGTGGTCAGCAAAGTAGAATCACAGCCATTATGATTCCAGCAACATTGAACCAGATCATAAATCTTAAAATTCACATATATTCAGCACCTAGATGAAACAATACTCAAGGAATAAAATTCTTAAGAAGAGAGAATGGATTTCACGGTGTAAATTACATTCTCTCCAACCCTCTGGAAATGGTGTATTGTTTAAGACTTGCCTTCTGCATGGGATTCCCAGGGATGAGGTGGCTACAAATAAAATGATCTAATTTATGTGCAGTGTAAGAAACGCATTCTTTTCATCCTACTTACTAACTCTAATTTCCTGCTTTCATAGAGAAGACATAAGAAAACCACTGAATATTTAAACTGTATTTTACACCATGGCTTTCATTAAGAGTATTTTCTGTATTTAAGAAAATCTCATAGATTGAAAAACAACAGTTTGAAGATATCAAATACCTTCTCCCTTTTATCCAGATATGAACAAACCGATTTAGACCCACATCTGAGCAAAAATGATCTTATACATAAGTGTCAGGAAATTAATAAACATGAGTTTGAAATGAACTAATTCTTTGATCCAGGGATCACCTATAAGCATTGTTTCAGGGCAATTAAAAAAAACTGAGGTCACTTTCGAAAACTTTCCTCAGCTACTGGCAAATATGCAATGGGGTATTCATTTCTTTAGCTTTATTACCATTAAAGAGAATTTATTATTAATGGCTAACAAACATATAAAAAATGTTCAACATCACTAAGCATCAGAGGAATATAAACTGAAACTGCAATGAGATATCATGTCACACCAGTCACAATGGCAATTATTAAAAAGTGAAGAAATAACAGATGTTGGCAAAGATGTGGAGAAAAAGGAAGATGTGGAGAAAAAGGAATACTTATATACTGTAAATGGGAATATAAATTAGTACAACCTCTATGGAAAACAGTAGGGGGATTTCTCAAATAGCTAAAAATAGATCTACCACTTGATCCAGCAGTCCCACTACTGGGTATCTTACTCAAAGGAAAGGAAATCATTACATCAAAAACACACCTGTACTCATACGTTTATCACGACACTATTTACAATAGCAAATCTAGTGCCAACCTCAGTGTCCATCAACAGATGATTGGATTAAAGAAAATGTGGTATATATACACAATGAAATACTATTTAGCTATAAAAATGTATGAAATCATATCTTGTGCAGCATCATGAATGGAACTGAAGGCCATTCATTATCTTAAGTGAAACAACTCAGAAACAGAAAATCAAATACCATACGTTCTCACCTATAACTGGAAGCTAAATAATGTGTACACATGGATGTAGAGTGTGGAATAATAAACACTGGAGACTCAGAAAAGGTGCTGACAAGAAATTACTTAATGGGTACAAAAAACATTATTCTGGCAATGGATACAGTAAGGGCCAAGACTTCACCACTCCTCAATATATCCACATAACAAAATTGCAGGTGTACCACTTAAATTTATACAAATAAAAAGAAAAGAATGAGTTTCTGAAATGGCTAAATGTATGTCATTAATAGTAATTCATACTTCTGTGTGAACAACAATTTGAGAATAAGCTTTTCTATGGTCTTAGGAAAGGGCACATGTGACTCCTGAGACCTGGGAAGGTTGGAGAGAAGAGCAGATATCTGGAATAGGACAATGAGAAAGTGCATGAACTCTAGGAACACTGAAGGCAAATTCAACCATTTCACAAACCTGTCTTGAAACCACTTTTATAAGGACTCAAGGGATATCTGAGAAGGAAACTAGAAAAACTGCTTTTCATTTGTTCCTTGATGATGCACATTTCCTAAGGCTAACTTACAATAAAGACTGGATTTCACAATATCAAAAGAGCATAAAGGTATTTTAACTGTAAATAACCCCTTTAGCACAGAACAAAATTTGAAAATAAGTAAATGGATATCCTTAAAAAAGATCAGAGAAGAAGAAGAGAATGAGAAAGGGAAAGACTCACATTATTATTACCATTGTCACCATCATCAATTCAGCTCAATAACCACTGAAATCAGGTGTTTCAAGAAATTTTATCACAAAATACAAGATTGCAAATAAGAACTATATGAAGAACTATATTGGTGTAAATGATACAAGCCATTGAACACACTAAAGAAGAGAATTATGCTGCAAAATATGTGAAGAATCAACCGCGTGCGTATGAAAAGCAGATCAAAATAATGAGATTTACAGAAGTAGAGAATAAACAGAAAACCACGATTATCTCCAAATGATAGATTTCTAAAATACATTAAATACACATTATGCATAATATAAAGGTAATTTCAATAAGCTTATGCTGAAGGAAGATGCTGTTGATTCTAATAACTGTACTGAATCAGTAAGTAATGCATCATCCTCTTGCTGTCACTTTCATTTATGAAATTCAAATTCATTTCTCCCAAAAGAGATAGAAGTAAGGAAGAGAAAAAGAAGTGAAAATTATAACCCTCCCAGATCAAAGAAAACAATTTCAAGCAATAAATATGAGTAGGAAAATAATGTCAGCTCTTGAAATTATATATCTCATTCTTAGGACAATAAAAGTAATCTTTCCATGTATTAAAGAAACTTTTTAAAAAATAAACTTGAGAAAGGCTAGACAAATAATCTTATCAGTTACTAGTGTTGTAAAACAAATCTCCAAGAACTTAATACTATAAAACTAAATAGTGTTATTATTTCTCATGATTTTGATCTGTTGGGAATGCATAAATAGCTTGGCTAGGCAGATGTGTCTCAGGGTCTCTCATGAAGTGACAGATTGCAGGTGAAGATGTGGACGGGGGAGAGTAGAGATGACCAACCATCCCTCTCTTCATATAGTCTCATAGCTTTTCCATGTGACCTCTTCACATTAGGACAGTTTACACTCCTCACAGCATGATGGCCTCAAGGCAGTAGTATTAGTCACATTGCAGCTCAGGACTCCAGACTGCATGTTTCAGTGATCAAGGTAGAAGCTGAGTCTCCTATTATGACCTAGCCTTGGAAATCATCCAACACCACTTTTGCCAAACTTTGATAGTCCAACAGCCCAGATACCTTCTTTGTCTCATGAGTATGGGATATAAATATTATCTTTCAATTGGAATATAAAAGATGTATTGTAAAAATATCATGTGAGATGGGAGATACGGCTATGACTATCTTTGGAAAGTGTAATCTGACACAAATATGTTACAAGTATATTTTTTGCTAGACTGTAGCAAAAAAAAAGACAATAATGTGGCAATAAAAATAAGAAAATATCTCATTTAATTTTCTCATTACCCTTTTAATTTATAGTTTCAAAAATTGGGGAAGTGGCCAAGATGGCCAACTAGATGCAGCTAGTGTGTGTGGCTCTCATGAAGAGGAACAGAAGGGGCAAGTAAATATAGCACCTTCCACCAAAACATCCAGGTACTCACATTGGTAATAATCAAGGAAACAACTCAACCCACAGAGAATGGAGAAAAGTAAGGCAGGATGACAGTTCGCCCAGGAGCCACATGAAGCCAGGGAAACCATCCTCCACTCAGGGAAGTGATGAGTGAATGTGTGACCCTGGGAATCCATGCTTCTCCTACAGATCTTTGCAACTCTCAGATCAGGAGATCCTCTCATGAGCCCACTTCACCAGGGCCTTCAGTCTGACACACACAGCTATGTGGAGTTTCGGCAGAGCAGCTGCTCAGGCACACACACAGACCCAGGAGCCTGAGATACTAGGGCTTTCCAGGCTTCCCAGCAAAAGCAGCTGCAACTCGGGCAAAGTGGGAGGTTAGACCCCTGTACATACCCCTAGGAAATGGGCTGAATCCAGGGGGCCAAGCAGCAAGAGTCTGTAGGCCCCACTTCCACAGCACCTCACAGTATAAGGCCTACTGGCTTGGAACTCCAGTCAGCAGCCAGTAGCAAAATTTCACCTCCCAGAGACAGCTCCCAAGGGGAAGGGCAGGCCACCATCTTTGCGTTTGGGCCACTTAGTCATTCCAGCCTTTGGGCTTTAAAGAGTCCAAGCCAACCAGGGACAGAAGGGATCCCCCAACACAGCTGCTCTGCAAAAATGTGGCCAGACTCTTTTTTTAAAGAAGATCCCTAATCCCATTCCTCCTCACTGGGTGGGACCTCCCAACCAGGCCCTCCAGCCAACCTCACCAGAATTCTCCAGCTGACAGAGTTTTGAAAGCTTCCTGGGATGGAGCTCCCAGAGGGAGGGGCAGGCTGGCATTTTTGCTCTTTGGGCCACTTAGCTGTACCAACCTTCAGGCTTTGAGGAGCCCTGACCAGTGGTGGAAGTGGTACCCCAGCACAGCACAGCTGCCCTGTAAAAACGTACCCAGACTACTTTTTTAAGCAGGTCCCCAAACCTATCCCTGATCACCAGATGGAGCCTCCCAGCCAGGGTCTCCAGCTACCTTTGCTGGTGTTCTCCAGCTGACAGAGGTTTCAAACTTCCCTGGGACTGAGCTCCCAGCAGGAGGGGTGGGCCAATATCTTTGCTGTTTGGGCAACTTAGCCATTCCAGCCTTCAGGCTTTGGAGTGTCCAAGGCAACTGAGGGCTGATGCAGACCCCCAGCACAGCAAAGCTGCTCTAGAAAAACATGGCCAGACTGCTTTTTAAAGTGTTTCGCCAACCTTATTTCTCCTCACTGGGTAAGACCTCCCAACCATGGTCTCCAGCCACCTCCTACAGGTGCATTCAGGCCAGCAACAGGTCTGTATCTCCCTGGGATGGAGCTCACAGAGGGAGGGGTGGGCTGCCATCTTTGCCGTGTCACAGCCTTCACTGGTGATACCTCTAGGTACTGGAAAATTCGAGGCAAATACAGACTGGAGTAGACCCCCCCAGCATATCACAGCAGCCCTACAAAAACGTGGCCAAACTGTTAAGTGGATGCCCATTCACATATCTCCGCACCAGGAAGGTTCTCCAAGCCTGGGCCTCTAGTCACCCCCTGCCAGGTCTATTAAGCCAACTCAGCAACTCCCTGGACAGAGCCTCCAGGGGCAACTGAAAGCCTCTCTGCCACTGTCTCTGCAGTGGAACTGTCCTTGCTACTCTCAGACTAATGAAGGAACGAAGACTCTAAATGCCTTATCCACACCTTCAACAAGCTGTAGTCATCCCAAGGAGAGGAGGCCAGTCCATCTTCCACAGGTTGCACACATCCCCCACTGCTCATCACAATACAGGGAACCCCAGTCTTGGGCCCACAACACAGACCCTTCTTCCTGGGCTGACTGCACTGAGCAATTGCTGACCCACATCTCTCTGAGGTGGAGCCACCAGGGGACAAGCAAAGTGGTGGAGCAGCAAGCCAGATGATATGGAACCCAGAGGGTTTGGTTCAGGAGTGTGTGTAGCAGAGCCTTACCAGAGACGGCTGTTCTTCTAGGCTCAACTTACTCCCATAAAAGACTTTAGCTCTAGGGGAACCATCAGACCTGCCCTCTGCCCAGTGGTCTTGCATGTCAAACAGGGCTGGTCCAACCTAAGCACCCCTTGGTCTGCTGACCTCTCCCAGAACCCCAGCCTGGCCATGCCTGTTTACGGAGCAGTCTCAGGTGCCTTTGGGATCCACAGCACAGCTTCTGTGCTGGCAGACAGTGCCTAAATGGTGGACAGCCTTAGCAAGGCAGTCCCTTTGGCCATGCACCAGCCCACATGTACCCTCCCCATACTGCAACTTCCCCTGAGCTGAAATGAAAGAAAAAAATTTAAAGGCAGTTGGAAAGAAAGGTCAGGTCACCTACAAAAGGAAGCCTAACATTCTAACGTGGACCTCTCAGCATAAACCCTACAAGCCAGAAGAGATTGGGGGCTAATATGCGACATTCTTAAAGAAAATAAATTCCAACCAAGAATTTCATATCTGGCCAAGCTAAGCTTTATAAGTGAAACAGATTTTTTACCACAGATCTGCCTTACAAGAGCTCCAGAAGAAAGCACTAAATATGGAAAGGAAAAATTGTTACCAGCCACTACAAAAACACACTGAAGCACACAGACCAGTGACACTATAAAGCAACCACATAAACAAGTCTGCAAAATAACCAGCTAACATCATGATGACAGGATGAAATCCACACATAGCAATACTAACCTTGAATGTAAATGGGCTAAATGTCCTAATTAAAAGGCACAGAGTGGCAAACTGGATAAAGAACCAAGACCCATGGGTCTGCTGTCTTCAAGAGACCCATCTCACATATAATCACACACATAGTCTTGGAGGAAAATCTACCAAACAAATGCAAAACAGAAAAAAGCAGGGGTTATAATTCTAGTTTTTGACAAAACAGACTTTAAACCAACAGAGATCAAAAAAGACAAAGAAGGGCATTACATAATGGCAAAGCATTCAATTCAACAAGATCTAACTCTTCTAAATGCATATGAACCCAATACAGGAGCACCCAGATTTATAAAAGAAGTTGTTAGAGACTTTCAAAGAGACTTAATCTCCCACACAATAATAGTGGTAGATTTTAATACACCACTGACAATGTTAGACAGATTATTGAAACAGAAAATTAACAAAGATATTCAGGACCTGAACTCAACAGTGGATCAAATTGACCTGATAGACATCTACAGGACTTTCCACCCAAAAACAACAGAACACATATTATTTGCACAGCCACATGGGCTATGCTCTAAAATCAATCACATACTTGGAAGTAAAACACTCCTCAGTCAATGCAAAAGAACTGAAATTATAAAAACAGTCTCTCAGACCACAGTGCAATCAAATTTGAAATCAAGACTAAGAAATTCACTGAAAACCATACAGTTACATGGAAATTGAATGACCTGCTTCTGAATTACTTTCGGGTAAATAAGGAAATTAAGGCAGAAATCAAGAAGTTACCTGAAACTAATGATAACAAAGATACAGCATACCAGAATCTGTGGGACACAGCTAAGTCAGTGTTAAGAGGGATATTTGTAGCACAAATGCTCACATCAGAAAGACAGAAAGATCTCAAGTTAACAACCTAACAATACAACTAAAAGAACTAGAGAACCAAGAGCAAACAAATCCCAAAGCTAACAGAAGACAAGAAATAACCAAAATCAGAATGGAATTGATGGAGACTAAGACATGAAAACCATTCAAAAGATTAACAAATCCAGTACCTGATTTTTTTTAAAACATTAATAAAATAGATACACCATTAGCTAGACTAATAAAGAAGAAAAGAGAGAATATTCAAATAAACACAATCAGAAATGACAAAGGGCATATTACCACTGACCCCACAGAAATACAAACAACCATTGTAGAATATTATGACCACCTCTATGCACATAAGCTAGAGAATCTAGAAGAAATGAATAAATTCCTGGACACATACACCCTCCAAAGACTGAACCAGGAAGAAATTGAATTCCTGAACAGAACAATAAAGAGCTCTGAAATTGAGGCAGTAATAAATAGCCTACCAACCAAAACCAAAAAACAAACAAACAAAAAAAACAAAGCCAGAACCAGATGGATTCACAGCTGAGTTCTACCAGATGTACAAAGAAAAGCTGGTACCATACCTACTGAAACTATTCCAAAAAATTGAGGATTGTGGAGGAGGGACTCTTCCCTAACTCATTCTATGAGGCCAGTATCATCCTGATACCAAAACCTGGCAGGGACAAACACACACAAAAGAAAACTTCAGAACAATATCTCTGATGAACATGTATATTGATGCAAAAGTCCTCAATAAAATACTGGCAAACAAAATCCAGCAGCACATCAAAACGCTTATCCACCACAATCAAGTAGGCTTTATTCCTGGGATGCAAGGTTGATTCAACATATGCAAATCAATAAATGAGATCATCACATAAACAGAACTAAAGAAAAAAACCATATGATTATCTAATAGATGCAGAAAAGGCTTTCCATAAAATTCAGCATCCATTTATGTTAAAAAACTCTCAACAAACTAGGTATTGAAGGAACATACCTCAAAATAGTAAGAACCGTATAAGACAAATCCACAACTGGCATCATACTGAATGGGCAAAAGCTGGAAGCATTCTCCTTCAAAACTGGCACAAGACAAGGATGCCCCCGCTCACCACACCTATTCATCATAGTGCTGGAAGACCTGGCAAGGGCAATTAAGAAGAGAAAGAAATAAAGGGCATCCAAATAGGAAGCGAGGAAGTCAAACAGTCTCTGTTTGCAGACAACATGATCTAATATCTAGAAAACCCCATCGTCTCAGCCCAAAAGCTTCTTAAGCTGATAAACAACTTCAGCAAAATCTCAGGATACAAAATCACTGTGCAAAAATAACTACAATTTCCTATACACCAACAACAGTCAAGCCAAGAGCAAAACAGGAACAAACTCTTCTTAACAATTGCCACAAAAAGAATAAAATACCTAGGAATACAGCTAACGAGGGAGATGAAAGAACTCTACAACTAAAACTACAATTTCTCAAAGTAATTAGACATGACACAAACCAATGGAAAAACATTCTATGCTCATGGATACAAAGAATCAATATCATGAAAATAGCCATACTGCACAAAGCAATTTAGAGATTCAATGCTATTCCTATGAAACTACCACTGACATTCTTCACAGAACTAGAGAAAACTACTTTAAAATTCATATGAAACAAAAAAAGAGCCTGAATAGCCAAGGCAATCCTAAGCAAAAAGAACAAAGCTGGAGGCATCATGCTGCCCAACTTCAAACTATACTACAGGGATACAGTAACCAAACAGCATGGTACTAGTACAAAAACAGACATATAGTCCAATGGAACAGAACAGAGACCTCAGAAATAAGGCCACACCCCTATCACCTGATCTTTGACAAACCTGACAAAAACAAGCAATTGGGAGAGGGTTCCCTATTTAATAAATGGTGCTGGGATAACTGGCTAGCCATATACATAAGATTGAAACTGGACCCATTCCTTTCACCATATACAAAATTAACTCAAGATGGATTAAAGACTTAAATGTAAAACCCAAAACTATAAAAACCCTGGAAGACAATCTAGGCAATACCAATCAGGACACAGGCACAGGCAAAGATTTCATGATAAAGACACCAAAAAACAATGTCAACAAAAGCAAAAATTGACAAGTGGGATCTAATTAAACCAAAGAGCTTCTGCACAGCAAAAGAAACTATGAACAGAGTAAATAGACAACCTACAGAATGGGAGAGAATTTTTGCAAACTATGCATCTGACAAAGGTTTAAAGTTCAGTATCTTCTTACACTTACAAAAATAAAAACAAAATAATCCTATAAAAAATGTGGGCAAAGGACATGAACAGACACTTCTCCAAGACAGACATACACGCAGCCAACAAGTACGTGAATTAAAAGCTCAATATCACTGATAATTAGGGAATAGAACCATAATAAGATACCATCTCACACTAGTCAGAATGGCTATTATTAAAATGTCAAAAAATAACAGATGCTGGTAGGTTGTGGAGAAAAAGGAACAGTTACATAGTGTTGGTGGGAGTGTAAATTACTTCAACCATTGTGGAAGACAGTGTGGTGATTCCTTAACGACCTAAAGACAGAAATATCATTCGACTAAGAAATTCCATTCCCGTGTATACACCCAAAGGAATAAAAATCATTCTGTTATAGACACATGAACCTGTAAGTTCACTGCAGCACTCTTCACAATAGCAAAGATATGGAATCAACTTAAATGCCCATCAATAATACACTGGATAAAGAAAATGTAGTACATATACACCATGAAATACTATGCAACCATGACAAAAAACGAGATCATGTTCTTTGCAGGGACATGGATGAAGCTGGAGGCCATGATCCTTAGTAAGCCAACACAGGAACAGAAAACCAAATGCCACATGTCCTCATTTGTAAGTGGGAGCTAAATGATGAGAACACATGGACACATAGAGGGGAATACACACTGGGGCCTTTCGGAGGGTGGAGGGTGGGAGGTGGGAGAGGATCAGGAAAAACAACTAATAGGCACTAAGCTTAATACCTGCGTGATTAAATAATCTATATAGCAAACCCCCATGACACAAGTTTACCTATGCAACAAACCTGCACATGTACCCCTGAACTTAAAATAAAAGTTAAATAAAATTGTCTCAGGAATTAGAGAAAAGGGGAATTTGCCAAATCAATTTTATGAAGGCTTTGTTGTTCTGATATTCAAACACGACAAAAATTTATTAACAAAAACTGATGCCAAAACAATAAATAACTATTAACAAGTATACACACATACAGAAACGCAAACTGAGTTTCAGAGTCTACTTGGCATGCTCAAGATCATGCTGCAAATGCCATAGCCAGCAAACAAACATCTATTTCCAATTTTAATTGCCTTCCATTATAGTGATCACTCCATTAAAGTCAGTGCATCACTGAGTTCTTATTTATTATAAAGGTCTGTTTCTCAATAGCACTTTTGAATGAGAGCTCAGCATTAGACCCACAAAAGAAAATGGTGAAAAAAATGTTCAGACTGGTCCCACCAAGGTTTACTAGGCCTGCAAAGATAAGACGATAAGACTTGTGGCTTTTTCATCAATACTGCTGCACAAAGATAGTATTCAACCTTACTCATATCATCCCATTCCTTATCAGTTGTTACAATGTTATTTTTATTGTATTTAATCTAAATGTCAGTTTTCTCACTCAACAGAAAACAAAGTCTCCAATTTAAAGAAGAAAATACCGTCAGATTTGGATTCCTTTAAATACCCTCCCCTCCATGTCAAGTTTATCTTGAAGCATTCTTATCTCATTTCATTCTGTCCCCACTTGTGTCCAAAGTTAATCTCTTCCACCTATACTTTGAGTTCCGTCCCTTCCTGTCTGCTTTGAGAAATTTCTCTCTTAATTATGTTCACTTATTTTTACCTTATACCTCCCTTCTCTACTGGACCTTTCCTTTCCTTTTACAAACAAATTTAAATTCCTTATCTTAGAAAAAATATAACCCTTCCCTAGTCTTTTCCGTCATTTAAACTGCTTCCTTCCCCGGTTTCCTCCAAATCTAAAGTGCTTAGCAGAACGGTTTTTACTGGATGCAATCACTTTATTTTCTCCTACTCACTCCATGACTCATTTTGGTCTGGTTTCAGCCTCGCACTTCCTTCAAGTTCTTCTTTCAAATAACCCAGCTCTTTAGTACAACTCTCTGACTAGGGGCATGATAGTTATATACCCATCCCTTTGTAAGAGATGGCCATCTTATAGCATTCTTTCAAGAGTCAGTGTGTGTCATGAAAAAAGTTTTTTTTTTGATGGGTGTTTCCAGCTCCTCCTTAAAAATATTCAGTCACCTGGCTGCAGTAAAATGCCGCCAGCTGGGAGATTCAGGACAGAAATGTTTTCACTTCTCTCTCAAGCCTACATGGCTTTCTGAGTACACATTCTACTAATAATTAATCTCCAGTTGTTTCTCCTGGTTAAGTGTTTATCTCTTAAAGTCCAGCATGCCAAGCTCAGCCAAAGAGCTAGAGATAGCAGAAAAAAATTATAACAGCTTATTTTATCATAAATAGTCCCACAGACAATTTTGGCAACTATCCCACTCTCCTCAGGCTACCATCACAAAATACCATAGAGTGAGCGGCTTAAACAACAGAAATTTATTTCTTACAGTTCTGGAGGCTGGAAGTCCAAGATCAAAGTACTAGCTTGATTCAGTTCTCAAGAGGATACTCCTCCTGACTTTCAGATGGCCGTCTTCTCACCGTGTCTTCACATGGCCTTTCTTCTGTTAGTACATGCAAAGAGAGAAGAGAGAGAGAGAGATCTAGAGTCTTCTTATAAAGTCATTAGTCTTGTCACAAAGGCCCTATTATCAGGACCTAATCTAACCCTAACTACTTCCCAAAGACCGCATCTCTAAATACCATCACTTTTGGAATTAGGGTTTCAATGTATGAATTTGAGGGGGTGGGAGGACACAAACATTCAGTCCATATCAGCCACCCTATGGTTGGTTCCAAAGTTGTCAAAACTAACAACTGATTTGGGGATCCTACTTTAATTCAGAATTATAAGCTTCCTCATGTGTTCTGAGTGTGACAGGAGTCATAGGTGGAGATTTCTTGTTACCAGTTTAATTTTAGGCGTATAGTAGCCCCTCCCAGTCTTGATAATACAGAAATACATATCTGAAATCATCACAGTCTTGGGTCATGATGAATCTTTGTTAGCTGTGGGTATTCTTGTAGACTTCAGATTAGGACCTGATGCAAGAATAGCAGCTGAAGAGGTAGATGGCCAGATAAAAATAATGGATTGAACATACACATATCTAATTTCTCTCATTCCTAAAACTACATAAAAATATTTTTAGAAGACATACACTAAAATATGTGGAAAAGAGAAAAAATTAACAACATTTTTCGGCAGTTGGTGCCAAAGGAGGAATAAACTAGATTTTCTTATCAGCTTATCCAGATGTAGGACAGAGGGGAAGGGCAGGGATGGAACTTGAAAGCTATCTGCCCTCAAACATCAATAATAGGATCAGACTGTTTATTAAAATCTAGTATACTGAATTTTGAAATGGCAAGAATTATACCTAGGAGAGAAAAATCTTATTTTTGGAGACTGTAAATTCTAAGTTGATGAAAAATTTATTTGGGGATATTATCTTCTTGAGATTCTATGACTATAATCTTGTATGATAAATGAGGCAACTTAGAAACATTCATTTATCTCAATTCCTACATTAAACAAAGATGGTTTTAAATGCAGACTCTTGAATGACTATTATAATTTGCTTTGTACAGCAGCTAATACTGCCTTAGTGTTATAAGAGTTAAATAATAACTAAATAAGATGAACATTTTTACCACTTTTTCAGTTCCAAATCAAGTGAATTCCCAATAACTTGAGAGATTAAGCAAATGTAAACTGAGTTTCATTTGTATAAAACCAATCTGGGTAATTCAGGAAATGTACTTTGTAGCTTGCTATGAAGATGTCTTTACATTTGACAGTTCTCAGACATCAGTTGTAACAGAATGTTGTACTTTCAATATTAATTTGACAATGTTTTGAATTACTGCTCATTTTTGCATAATATTTTATTTACGCCTGAAAATATACCTTTGTCTCATAATTACAAGATGGTCAGCTAAAAGTTCTGTTTTCAAGTGTACCAAACAGTGGCCAATACACTTCCTTCTGAGAAAAAAAGGAATCACACAGATATCCTTAAAATAACACCTTCTAAGTGTTAAAAGTAGAGTCAAGTAAATAAACACACATCTTTACTAGTGTCCTTTTAGGGACTTTTTTTATCTTTAAAAAATGTTTTAAATTTAAATATTATGGCTATAATACCAATTGATAGCTGTCTGAAATCCTACAATAGGGAAACTTTTGATATGAAAATTGACAATGCTACAAAAGAGTGTACCTAGATCCAGCTAATGGTATGGTCTATATTTCGCAATATTTCCTAAAGAAGGATTAGATCAGGCATATGTGTGCTGTATCTGCAAAAATCTGGAGAAGATTGGTAATACCCTACCCCCAAAATCTGTGTGTTAGGTTAAAAACCACTTATGCAGATGGATCTGATTCTGCTGATTCATCATTCCCATTGTCATTACACAGATGGTTCTAAGGTGAGTTAACAATTTAAGGCGATGTCTACTTGGGGTTACCAGATCTCCTGTGCTGTCTTGAAATAATCATTTAGTCAAGTTCCATGTGGCTAATAAAGCAGCATAACAACACACCCATACACTGACAATGCAAACTAAGATGGCACAAGTGCCAGCCTTAACAAGTCTTCAGATTAGTATTGCTTTTAATAAATAAACAGAAAATTCTCACCTCTTTAATACTTTGGTTAGACAATTCTATAAAAATGCAGATCTCATTAATTTTCCATTATACTCTTAGTAAATGGTACATTGAAGAGAAAATTCTTTTCTGTACGTGCTTCATTGCAACTAATGTACTTGGTGCTGTTTTTTGTGATTGCTATTTATTTAACTAATTCTTACTAAGGATGCCATGGATAATTTTCTTTTTCTTTATTCTCCATTTTTTAGCAATATAGTGGGATACAGAGCCCTTTTGCTTTCTGACTTCACACACAGTGCAGGTGTTTTAGAATGCAGATTGAAACTAATCACTGGGAAAGAAGTGAAGAGATAATATGCTAAATATGTGAATCTGACTGTTCACAGAGACTGTATTACAAAATTGAATGCAATAAAGTAATTACTGGTTTGTCTGATAATTTTGCACCAATGATTAATGATGAACTAAAATCAGAAGCAAACGATTGTAACAGCTTCCCTCAATAAAAACCACACTTAATTTTTTTTCTTACATGTACTTAGTAAAGAAATTGTGGAAAACACAAAATATAAAGAGAAAATCCAGGTGATAAAATTCTATCATCTAGAAATATCTACTATTAACATTTTGGAATTTTATATCCAATAACATTGTTACTTTTTATGCATGTGTGTAAGAATGTATCTCTTAGTGCCTCAGCAGTAGGCACTAGAATTGTGTCCTCCCCATTGCAAGCCTAAAGCAGAAGAAGAGCTGCTACTGCTGTACTTTCTCCTAGGCTGTAAGACTTCCAAACAGGGCCAGCTTGGCAACCTGGAATTGGTCTGCCTGTGTCATTGCTGGGTGTCCCAGCCTCCTCTCCTGAGACAGTGGTGCAGCAAGGCCCTTTCCACTCCACCCCCAGGAAGGACTCCAGGCATTCAGAGCACACACTTGCCTGCACCAGCAGCCTGAGTCACCCCCACCCTTCCTGTGCACAGATCAAGGTGCAACAGAGCCTTCTTTACTTCACCTCCAGGCAGATATCCAGGCATTTGGAGCACTTGCTGTCATGGACTAGCAACCTGAGGCACCCCACCCTTCCTGTGCAGAGATCCTGGTGCTGGAGGACCCTCTTCACCTCATGGCCAGACAGATCTCCAGGAATTCAGAGCAACCACTCATCTCAATCAACAGACCGTGCTGCTCCATCTTTCCTGTGCAGAGATTGTGGTGAAGCAGACCCTTCTCTACTCCTGCCCAGGCAGATCTCCAAGAACTTAGAGCCTTGCTCACACAAATCAGCAGCCTGAGCTGGCCCACCCTCCCTGTGCAGAGTCTATAGTGAAGCGGGACCCTCTCTACCCTATGACCAGGCATAACTCCAGGCAGTTGGAGCGCATATTAGGCTGGATTATAAACCTGAACAGCCACACCATTCCTGTGCAGATTGAGGTGCAGTGGGTCCCTCTAGACTCTACACTCAGGCAGATCTCCAGGCATTTGGAGCAACCACTTTCCTGGGTTAGGAGTTTAGGCTGCTCCCCTGACCATGCAGAAAACTTGAGGCCAAGGAGGTGTCCTAGCTCCATACCTAGGCACACCTCTTGGTGATGGGTGGCTGCCCACTGGATTCTCCCTCAGCACCAGGGCTTGTGCCTTACACTGGGGAATCTATAGGTGGTCCTGCTCAATCCCACCTTGTCCATCTTGCTCCCTGCCCACTTCCAGGATGAGCAAGGAGCCCAGACCACTGTGCACTCCAACAACAAGACCACTGCCTGATGAAACTGAGAGCGTGCCCTGGTAAACAAGGATCAAGTATATACTCAGCCACATTCACCTCAGCGGCTCTCATCCATAAGCACCATCTACTGACTTATAAGTCAAACCACACAGCTCAATATAAAACACTCCAAAAGGCTGGTGCAGTGGCTCACGCCTGTAATCCTAGCACTTTGGGAGGCTGAGGTGGGTGGATCACGAGGTCAGGAGATCAAGACCATCCTGGCCAACATGGTGAAACCCCCTCTCTACTAAAAATACCAAAAAATTAGCCGGGCATGGCAGTGCATGTCTGTAGTCCCAGCTACTCAGGAGGCTGAGGCAGAAGAATTGCTTGAACCCAGGAGGTGGAAGCTGCAGTGAGCCAATATCATGCAACTGCACTCCAGCCTGGGTGACAGAGAGAGACTCTGTCTCAAAAAAAAAAAGAAAAAAAAGTGCCAAAAGAAGTACGTAGGGCTATAGAAGCAAAGCCAAAGTATTCTACCCAGAATTTTCTACAGTCACACTACCTAGAGCACAGCAGAAAGGGAAAGGAAAATAAACAAACAAAAATTCAATAATATTCTAGATAAAGAAAGAAAAGGGAAAAACAATTTGCATGAAAATAACTATAAAAATTAGAAGTGCCAGCATTTCCAAATGAGAAGGAATCAGTGTAAGAATTCTTGTACAATGAAAAATCTGAGTGTAGTGACATCACCAAAGGTTCACACTAGTTCTCCAGTAATGGGCCCTAGACAAAATGGAAACTCAGAAATTCCATAAATAATTCAAAGCATAGATTGCAAGGAAGCTCAATGAGATCCAACCTAAGATTGAATATCAACACAAAGAAATTTATAAATCAATCCAGAAAAAGAAATAAGAGATAAACATCTTTGAAAATTAAATCAGAGCCTCTGGAATTGAAAAATTCACTCAAGGAATTTCAAAATGCAATTGAAAGTTTTATCAACTGACCAAGCAGAAGAAAGAATTTCAGAATTTGAAGACCAATCTTTAACCCAATCAGACAAAAATACAGAAAAAAAGAATTTTAAAATATGAAGTTTTTGAAAAATAGGAGACTATGTAAAGTGACCAAACCTATGAATTATTAACATTCCTGAGAAAAAAGAAGAAAAAGCAAACAACCTGTAAAACATGTTTGAGGGAATAATTTAAGAAAATTTCCCTATCTGGCTAGAGAGGTAGATATCCAGATACAAGAAATCCAGATAACACCTGCGAGATACTATACAAAATGAACATTACCAAGGCATATAGTCACAAGACTATACAAAGTCAACACTAAATAAATGAATCTTAAAGGCAGCTAAAGAAAAAGGTCAGATCACATACAAAGGGAACTACATTTAGCTAACAGCAGATGTCTCAGCAGAATTCTTATAAGCCAGGAGAGACTGGAGGCCTATTTTCAGCATTCTTTAAAAAAGATATTTCAATAAAGAATTTTATATCCCACCAAATTAAGCTTCATAAGTGAGGGAGCATAAAATATTTTCCACACAAGCAAGTGCTAAGACCACTAGACCAGCCTTACAAAAGATCTTTAAGGGATCTCTAAACATAGAAACTAAAGAATGATACCTCCTACCACAAAATCATACTTAAGTACATAGCCCACAGACCCTATAAAGCACACACAGTAGAAACTACAAAGCAACCAGTGAACAACTTCATGATAGGATTAAAACCTCACATATCAGTATTAACTTTGAATGTGAATGGTCTCAATATCCCACTTAAAAGGCACAGAGTTGCAAGTTGGATAAAAAAAACAAGACCCATCCTTCTGCTGTATTCAAGAGACCCATCTGACATGTAACAATACCCATAGGCTCAAAGCCAAGTGTTGAAGAAAGATCTAGCATGTAAACAGAAAACAAAAAAGAACACAGGTTGCTATTCTTATATCAGATAAAGACTTTAAACCAACACTGGTTAAATTTTGAATAAAGAAGGACATTACAAATGATAAAGAGTTAAAGTCAACAAGAAGCCTTAAATATCCTAAATACATATGCACCCAATGTTGGAGCACCCTGATTCATGAAACTTCTTCTAGACCTATGGAAAGACTTAGCCACACAATAATAGTGGAGGACTTCAACACCTCATGGACAGTGATAGATAGATAATCTATTTAACAAATAAATTCTGGGCTTAAAACTAACAAAGAAACTCTGGACTTAGATTTGACACTTGATCAATTGGATCTAATAAACATCTGCAGAACACTCCACCCATCAACCCTGAAATATATATCCTTCTCATCTGCACATGGAACACACTCCAAGATCAACCACATGCTCAGCCATAAGGCAAGTCTCAATAAATTAAAAAAAAATTGAAATCATACCAATGATACTCTCAGACCACAGTGGAATGAAAAGAGAAATCAATAACAAGAAGTTTTCCCAAAACTGCAAAATTACATGGAAATTAAACAATTTGCTTCTGAATGACTTTTTATAAACAGTGAAATTAAGGCAGAAACTTAAAAGTTCTTTGAAATAAGTGAAAACAGAGACATGACATGCCAAAATCTCTGAGACACTGCAAAAGCAGTGTTAACGGAAAAGCTTATAGCACTAAATGCCTACCTCAAGAAGTTAGAAAGATGTCAAATTAATGACCTAGCATCACACCAAAGGAAATAGAAAAACAAGAACAAACTAATCCCAAAGCTAGCAAAAGAAAATAAATAACAAAATCAGAGCAGAACTGAATGAAACTGAGACTCAAAAATCCATACAAAGAGTCAAATAAACCAAAAGTTGGTTCTATGAAAGGATAAACAAGATCAGTAGACCACTAGCTAGATTAACAAAGAAAACATGAAAGAAGATCCAAATAAGCACGATCAGAAAGACAAAGGTGGCATTACAACTGATCCCACAGAAATACAAAGATCCTCAGAGATTATATGAACACCTCCATGCACACAAACTGGAAAATCTAGAGAAACTGTATAAATTTCTGGAAACACACAACCTATCAAGATTGAATCAGGAAGAAATTGAAACCTTGATCAATATTGAGTTCCAAAATTAAATCAGTAATAAAAAAACCTACAGAACAAAAAAGCCCCAGACCAGATGGATTCACAGAAAAATTCCATAAGGTGTACAAAGAAGAGCTGGCACCAATTCTACTGAAACTACTCCAAAAACAAAAAAAATTGAGGAGGGACTTCTTCCTACTTAACTCTTTCTACAAAGCCAGCATTATCCTGATACTCAAACTTGACAAAGACACAACGAAAAAAGAAAACCACAGGCCAATATCCATGATGAACATAGATGCAAAAAAAGGTAAACAAAACACTAGCAAGCCAAATCCAGTAGCACATCAAAAAGCTAATTCACTATGATCAAATAGGCTTCATTTCTGGGATGCAAGTTTGGTTCAAAATATGCAAATCAATAAATGGGATTCACCACATAAACTGAATTAAAAACAAAAAACGTACGACATCCTAATAGATGTTGAATCAGCCTTCAATAAAATCCAACATCTCTTCATGATTAAAAAAAAAACCCTCAACAAACTAGGCATTAAAGGAACATACCTCAAAATAATAATAGCCATCTATTACAAACCCACAGGCAACATCATACTGAACAGGAAAAAGGTAGAAGCATTCTCCCTGAGAAATGGAACAAAATAAGGATGCCCACTCTCACCACTCATCTTCAACATAGTGCTGAATTCCTAGCCAGAGCAATCAGGCAAGAGAAAGAATAAAATGCATGCAAATAGGAAACGGAGAAATCAAACTATCTCTCTTCATGGATGATATGATTCTATAACTGTGAACTCTAAAGACTCCACCAAAAGGCTCCTGGAACTGATAAACAACTTCATTAAAGCTTCAGTATACCAAACCAATGTACAAAAATCAGTAGCATTTCTGTACACCAGTAACATTCAAGCTGAAAGCCAAATCAAGA
Source organism: Homo sapiens (assembly GCF_000001405.40). Classification (NCBI taxonomy): domain Eukaryota; kingdom Metazoa; phylum Chordata; class Mammalia; order Primates; family Hominidae; genus Homo; species Homo sapiens. Next base: position 158,041,937 of record NC_000004.12, read on the forward strand.
ATACCATCCCATTCACAATAGATACACACACACAAAAATAAATTACCTAGGAATACATCAAACCAAGAAGGTAAAAGATCTCTACACGGAGAACTACAAAACACTGCTGAAAGAAATCATAGATGACACAAATAAATGGAAAAATATTCCATGATCATGGATTAGTAGAATCAAATTATTAAAGCAATTTACAGATTTGTCACTATTCCTATCAAACTACCAATGTCGTTTTTCACAGAACTAGAAAAGACTATTCTAAAATTCATATGAAACCAAAAAAGAGCCCAAATGGTCAAAACAATTCTAAACAAAAAAGAACAAAGTCAGAAGCATCTCATTACCCAACTTCAAACTATACTATTATATAAGACTCTAGTAACCAAAACAGCATAGTACTGGTACAAAAAAGAATAGAGAACCCGGAAATAGAGCCACACACCTATAGCCATCTGATCTTTGACAAAATCACCGAAAACAAGCAATGGGGAAAGGACTCCCTATGCAATAAATGGTGCTAGGATAGCTAGCTAGCTTTATGTAGAAGAATGCAGCTAGACCCATGTACAAAAATCAATTCAAAATGGGTTGGAGATTTAAATGTAAGACTGCAAACTACAAGAATCCTAGAAGAAAACTTAGGAATACCATTCTGGACACTACCCTTTGAAAAGAATTTATGACTAAGTCCTCAAAAGCAATTGCATAAAAACAAAAATTGGCAAGTGAGAACCAACTAAAGAACTTCTGAACAGAAAAAGAAACTATCAACAGAGTAAACAGACAACCTCCAGACTGAGAGAAAATATCCACAAACTGCATTGCATTCAACAAAGTTCCATTATCCAGAATCTATAAGGAATTTAAACAATTCAACATCAGAAAACAACCCCATTAAAAAGTGGGCAAAAGATAGGAACAGATGCTTCTCAAAAGAAAACATACAAGTGGCCAATAAACATGAAAAAATGCTCAACATTAATAATCACCAGAAGAATGCAAATCAAAACCACAATGAGATACCATCTCACATCAGTCAGAATAGCTATTACTAAAAAGTACAAAAACAACAGATACTTGCAAGGCTGCAGAGAAAAGGGAATGTTTATACACTGTTGGTGTGAATGTAAATTAATTCAGCCACTGTAGAAAGCAGTTTGCGGAACTTAAAGAACTTAAAACAGAACCACCATTTGACCCCCATTACTAGGTGTATACCCAAAATAACATAAGTTGTTCTACCCAAAAGACATATGCACTTATATATTCATTGCAGCACTATTTACAATAGCGAAGACATGGAATCAACCTAGGTAGCCATCAGTGGTGAATTGGATAAAGAAAATGTGGTACACATACCCCAAGGAATACTACATGCAATAAAAAATAATGAAACATGAATGCAGCTGGAAGCCATTATTCTAAGCAAATTAATGGAGAAACAGAAAAGCAAATACCACATGTTCTCACTTCTAAGTGGGAGCTAAACTTTGGGTACTCATGGGCATAAACATGCAACAATATACACTGGGAACTAATAGAGGAGAGAGGAAGGGAAGGAGGGGGGAAAGCATTGAAAACTTGTTAGGTTCAATACTCACTACCTAGGTGACAGGATCATTCATACCCCAAAACTCATCATCATGTGATATGCCCACGTAACAAACCTGCACATGTATTCCCTTAATCTAAAAGAAAAGTTGAAATTATACAAAAAATGTTAAAAAAAAAAAAAAAGTCTAACTTAATCCTAAATCCTTAACCCTAAAAAAAACAAAAAACCAAAAGAAAAAAGAAAAGAGTTCCTTCCCACCTCCTCCTATCCTCAGTTTTGGTTATCAGTGTAATGTTGAACTCATAGAATGATCTGGGAATTGTTTCCTTCATTTTCTAAAAATTCTCTAAGAATTTTCTTACAATTCCCACATCTGTTATTTCTTCGCTACATGTTTGAGAGAATTTACCAGTGGGGGGGAATGTGTTCCTTGCAATATTACCGCATGCTCTTTGTCTGTATATAATATGCAAATAGAAGCATGCAGCTAGATTTTACTTTATGTAATGTTGAGAGGTGACAGCATGCTGGCGGCCCTCACTCACTCTCGCTGCCTCCTCGGCTTTGGCGCCCACTCTGGCCGCGCTTGAGGAGCCCTTCAGCCCGCCTCTGCACTCTGGGAGCCCCTTTCTGGGCTGGCCAAGGCCCAGGCGGCTCCCTCAGCTTGCCGGGAGGTGTGGAGGGAAATGCACGGACAGAAACCCGGGCTATGCGCGGCGCTTGCGGTGCAGCTAGAGTTCCGGGTGGGCGTGGGCTCGGCAGCCCCAGCACTCCGAGCGGCCGGCAGGCCAGCAAGCCCCAGGCAGTGAGGGACTTAGCACCTGGGCCAACAGCTGCTGTGCTCGATTTCTCGCCGGGCCTTAGCTGCCTCCCCGCAGGGCAGGGCTCGGGACCTGCAGCCCGCCATGCCTGAGCCTCCCCGCCCTGCCCTGGGCTCCTGCACAGCCCGAGCCTCCCTGATGAGCGCCGCTTCCTGCTCCAAGGCGCCTAGTCCCATCGACCGCCCAACGGCTGAGGAGTGTGGGCTCACGGCGGGGGACTGGCAGGCAGTTCCACCGGCTGCCCGGGTGCGGGATCCCCTGGGTGAAGCCAGCTGGGCTCCTGCGTCTGGTGGGGACTTGGAGAACCTTTATGTCTAGCTAAGGTATTGTAAATACACCAATCAGCACTCTGTATCCAGCTCAAGGTTTGTAAACATACCAGTCAGCACCCTGTGTCTAGCTCAGGATTTGTGAATGCACCAATGGGCACTCTGTACCTAGTCAGTCTGGTGGGGACTTGGAGAATCTTTATGTCTAGCTAAGGGATTGTGAATGCACCAATCGTCACTCTGTATCTAGCTCAAGGTTTGTAAATGCACCAATGGACACTCTGTATCCAGCTAATCTAGTGGGGACATGGAAAACTTTTGTATTTAGCTCAGGGATTATAAACGCACCAATCAGCACCCTGTCAAAACGGACCAATCGGCTCTCTGTAAAACAGACCAATCAGCTCTCTGTAAAATGGAGCAATCAGCAGGATGTGGGTGGGGCCAGATAAGAGAATAAAAGCAAGCTGCCCGAGCTAGCAGTAGCAATTTGCTGAGGTTCCTTACCCCACCTTGGAAGGTTTGTTCTTTTGCTCTTTGCAGTAAATTTTGCTGCTGCTCACTGTTTGGGTCCACTCTGCGTTTGTGAGCTGTAACACTCATTGCAAAGGTCTGCAGCTTCTCTCCTGAAGCCAGTGAGACCACGAACCCACCAGGAGGAACCAACAATTCCAGACATGCTGTCTTAAGAGCTGTAACACTCACCGCGAGGTCTGCAGCTTCACTCCTGAGCCAGCGAGATCACGAACCCACCAGAAGGAAGAAACTCCGAACACATCCGAACATCAGAAGGAACAAACTCCAGACAGGCCACCTTTAAAAACTGTGACAGTCACAGCAAGGGTCCGTGGCTTTATTCTGGAAGTCAGCGAGACCAAGAACCCACCAATTCTGGACGCGATGTTACACCATGTGCATTGTTCAATGCTTATAAATTGCCTTCAAGAACACTGATTTTATGTGACTACATAATCCTCCACTTGGTCAGTGTGCTACAATTCATTAAACTTTTCTTTCTCATTAGTGGACATTCAATTTGAGCCAAGGCATAAGGTTGAGTTTGTTTGTTATAATGTTTCAATGACCGTACTTGTATATAAAGATGTATACTTATCGCCAAGTATTTCTTTTGGACGTAAAGTAGTAGTTTATTGTTATTTTGTCATTATGTACATGTCCAAATTTCTTCACAAATGTGTTGCACCAGTTTATAATCCCATCAGCAGTCTATCATATTGTCCTCTGTGCCACATCCTTACCATCATTAAATATTACCTTTTTAAAAAAGAACTTCAGCAGTGTTATGCAGGGACATAATATAGTATTTCACAGTTATGGTCAATTTTCTATATAATTATAGGTCAGATGTATTTCCCTTTTGTAAATTTTATCTCTATGTCCTCATCATATTTTTTTATCATGACTTGCTGAATCATTTGTGAATACCATTCAATTCTTAGCACAAGGTTTTTAAAACTGTCTTAAGTATTTTTAAATTCTATGTGTTTTTTTTTAAATCAAGTGAGTTTGTTTCAAATAAGCAATAGTAATACCCCAATATTTGTAAATAAGCACAAGATTAGGCATAGAAAAGAAAATACTTTTTAAATCTCTTGCTTTCTTCTTTCACAAAGACCTTTAGTTATAATTTTTTTATTTGCATCTTTCACTTGCATAGAACACATATATTTTGTATGAGATCCAGAGTAATCACTTTCCTCTAAGATCCTCTTCACCTTTTTGAGCCCTCACTATGCATAATAGATGTGCCCACTTACACAAGTACAATGAGATGTGATGAAGTAGGGGAAAGCGTTTTTTTGTGGGAAAAGAGTGCCACACATGTTTTGAACGTACGGAATTTGACCCTAAGTAGACAGGAGTCATATTCCAAACAAATAGGTCTCTATGGTGGTAACTTTCAACAACTTGAACTATGACGTTCATTTTAAAAGAATAACAAGATAATTGACAAGTTTTTCATAGGCTTTTATTGGAGAGAGGGAAGATGTCCATGAAGTAAGAATTGGTGTTGAAATTATAAATGCTACATTGTTTGGGGAATTCCATGTCCAGAATCTGCCCTCTTAACAACAGGGCAATTGTTTGACCTTCAACTTTTAACAAATTGTGGTTAAGTTAAAACACTATCTGGAAATCCTACAGTAAATATCTGCATGCTATTTGCAACCATGTCAAAAAATGAGAAAAAAAGCATGCTAAAATGTAAAAATTATTTATCCAAATCATTTTGATTTCGTAAGAGTAATAAAGTAAGTGTAATAAAGACAACATATTTTTTAAAAGTAGATCTCATGCATATATGCAAACATTTTCCCTGATTATAGGTACAAGGGCTCATGACATAGTCATTTAAAAAATCATATATTAGATCATAAAAAAGGTTTCATAATTTCAAAAAAGTTAGAAATACAGAAAGCATTCCTGATTATAATATAATAAAACAAGAAATTAATACAAAATAAGAGACAAAAAATGCTTCCACTTGAACATAATTCTTTAAATTAAAAAATTAAAATTCTTTCATAAAAAACTTTAAAGAACTATAAGCCAAAAATTCAAAATATTTGAAAAGTAATGAACACATCGTATACTGACTTTGTATATAAACTTTTTACCATAAAAAAGAAAAATGAATATAGAAACAAAAGCAGAAATTATATAAAGAAGGGAACAGACAAGATTAAAACTAAAAAATAAAACAATAAAAGTAATTTAAAAAGCTTTTATTAAATCAATAAAATGGATTAAAACCTTCACTATCCTAATCAAGAATAAAAGAAGGAAGAAATCTATGTGCATGTTAAAATACATGACAAGGAGATAATAAGCATAGAAGCAGGGTAATTTTTTGAAGAGACTACTTTCCTAACACTCAGAGCCATGAGTTTAAAATTTGGATAAGATAGAACATTTCTAGAAGATACAATTTTCCAACGCTGACAAGAGTATATACACAAATCCTGAAAAAAAATTAGTCAAATAGTTAGATATAAAAAATCTATCCCCAAAATAAAAAAAATTAGGGCTTGATACTCTCAAAGATAATCCTTCCAAACTCTAGAACAAATAATTATTATGCAAATTATTCTACAGCACATTAAAAAATAAAGTTTCAAATTATTATTTTTTTAAGTTTTAAAAAATTAAGATAAGGTCTCACTCCACCACAAAGGCTGGAGTGCAGTGGCATAATCACAGCTCACTGCAGCTTCGACCTCCTGGGCTCAAGTGACCCTCCCATCTCAGCCTCCCAGGTAGCTAGGACTACAGGTGTGCACCACCACACCTGGGTACTTTTTTTTTTTTTTTTTTGTAGAGACGAGGTTTCGCCATGTTGCCCAGGCTGATCTCAAACTCCTGGGTTCAAGTGATCCTCCTGCCTCAGCCTCCCAAAGTGCTGGGGTGTGAGCCACTATGCCTGGCCTAAAGTTTCAAATTATTTGAGTAAAGTGGATTACATTGATATTAAAACATAAAAAAGATTGAAAATGGACAAACAAAATGTTGACCAACTTTCCTTATTTAAGAAACTCTCAAATAGAATATTGTGAAGACTTTGCAGCAGCACATTGAAATAACAATACATCAAGAACAAGCAATATTTATTCCAAACATACAGGGATGGCTCAACGTTATAAAGTAGTTTCATATATTTCATTCTTTTTGTAGATCTATGGCAAAAAATTACATGATTATTTTCCTGGATGCTGAAATGGCATTTGATAAAATTTGTACCAATTTTTTATTTACAAGGAAAAAACTCAAAATGTACAAATTAGTGGAAAATATGCAAACATATCTGCACATGCACACACATGTGCACGCACACACACACACACACACACAATCAAGCCCAGAAATCAGCAAGCTAAGTGGGGGGAAAAAATGAGGAATAAGACGAATGCTATTACCATGACTAATGAGCTGCAAGTATTAGCCTTTGAAATTATGACACAAAAAGATATTAGAAGTTTACAAACATGAAAGGATGAGGTAAAATTAACCCTCTTTGCAAATGATATGATTAGATACTTGGAAACCAACATAATTCCTGTTGGGGGATAAAACTGGGGAAACTAAGTGGGGAAAAAAACTGGAAAGCAAAGAAAACATAGATGTATTACTTGATAATGTTGGAGTGGAGAAGAAAGGCCTTTTAATCATGACATAAAATGCAGAGGCCAAGTTACAATGGTGATGATTAAAAAGTCAGAAAACAACAGATGCTGGAGAGGACGTGGAGAAATAGGAATGCTTTTACACTGTTGGTGGGAGTGTAAATTAGTTCAACCATTGTGGAAGACAGTGTGGTGATTCCTCAAGAATCTAGAACCAGAAATACCATTTGACCCAGCAATCCCATTACTGGGTGTATACCCAAAGAATTATAAATCATTCCACTATAAAGACACATGCACACGTATGCTTATTGCAGCACTATTTACAATAGCAAAGTCATGAAACCAACTCTAATGCCCATCAATGATAGACTGGATAAAGAAAATGTGGCACAAATACACTATGGAATACTATGCAGCCATAAAAGAGGATGAGTTTATGTCCTTTGCAGGGACATAGATGAAGCTGCAAGCCATCATTCTCAGTAAACTAACACAGGAACAGAAAACGAAACACCGCATGTTCTCACTCATAAATGGGAGTTGAACAATGAGAACACATGGACACAGGGAGGGAAACATTACACACATGGGCCTGTTGAGGGGTAGGGGGCTAGGAGACAGAGAGCATTAAGAGAAATACCTAACATAGATGACGGGTTGATGGGTGCAGCAAACCACCATGGCACATGTATATCTGTGTAACAAACCTGCACGTTCTGCACATGTATTCCAGAACTTAAAGTATAATAAGAAAAGAAAAAAATAATGCAGAGGCCATTAAAGTTAGATTGATAAGATCTAAGCCTGACGGTCTCCATTTATGACACCGCTATCTACTGTTTTTTCCCTGTTTTGCTGAAACCAGATCTTCTCCCTAATAGCATCAACAAAGTAAGTTTTGTTACTTTTACCTCCATTCATGAATAAAAGTCCTTCCTGATATCTTATTTGATTCAAGCCCTGATTAAATTAATATTTTTCAAAACCATCATTTTTCTAAAAGTATTCATTTTTCTAAATATATCTGGTGAGCCTAAAAGAATAATTTGATTAAAAACTAATAAGATGCATAAAGAAGAAAATGTTTCTGCCTATAATATCTTTTAGTAAAGATTCGAAGTTTTGCAAAGATACTAATAGACTAACAAATGGTTTTGTTTTATATTTTAACTTGGCTTTTTAAAAAAACTTAAATCTGACTCCCTGATTGTATCAATAAAATGTATCAATAAAAATGAGGGAAAAGAACAAAGAAAACTATTTTCAAAGATAGATCTCATCAAAAACAAATATATCTATTATTAGATTCTAACTTGGAAAAAAAATTTAACCTTAACTTCCATATAGTATCTCTTACAGTTTTTTGTTAAAATATTTTCTTAATGCAAGTCAAGACCAACTTATCTTTACAGATATATTTAGAGGTAACTTAAGATTTAGGAATATTAATATATTAACCTTTTTCAGTGTTTACTGTCACTTTCATTTAATCTCTTAATAAATCCTGGGCTGGATTAACTGAATAAATGAGTGATATTACTGAATTCTTTCATTTGTGAGTAGATAAATTCTAACCCTACCAAAGATATCAGAAGAGAAAAAAAAAGTAAAAAAAAAAAAAAAATAGATAAATTCTTTCCCTTCATTCAGTGTTTTAAGCTTCTTTACTCAGATCTAATTTGACTGACTGTAAGGCAAATATAAAGTCAATCTATTGATGAACAAGATGCTATGAATAAGAATTTTAAAAATAAAGTTATATCAGCCTGGCGCGGTGGCTCACACCTGTAATTCCAGCACTTTGGGAGGCCAAGGCAGGCGGATCACGAGGTCAGGAGATCGAGACCATCTTGGCTAGTACGGTGAGACCCCGTCTCTACTAAAAATACAAAAAATTAGCCGGGCATGGTGGCGGCGCCTGTAGTCCCAGCTACTCCGGAGGCTGAGGCAGGAGAATGGCGTGAACCTGGGAGGCGGAGCTTGCAGTGAGCAGAGATCACGCCACTATGCTCCAGCCTGGGCGACAGAGCGAGACTCAGTCTCAAAAAAAAACAAACAAAAGAAAATAATAAATAAAGTTATATCAAATCACATAAATCTGCTTTTGTATATAAATTTGGAAACGCCAAAGACATTTTTCATGTCAGTCTGAAACTCGGCTTTAATTTTAAAATAATCTAGCTCAGGCTGAAAAAACTGGAATAAGAATTTGGAATTTACCATCTAATAATCACGGATCTTGAACTGTGGGGATGACTGCAGAAGGAAGACTAAAGGAAGTCAGGACTTTGCTGCTTTGGAAAATGAGACAACACTGTTCAACATCAGCAAAAGACTGATAATGACAGAGACAAATGGAAAACTCTGATATGTAATTGTGAAATATTAAAAAGATTGCTGTTTATACTCTAAGTCATTCTCAATAATTAGAATGCAACTGAGTCAACATGTAATTTTGGGCAAATGATTTAACCTCTTGGGATCTCTGTAACCTCATCAGAGATAAGGGGAGGAGAAGCACAAGTTTACTTCTCTAAGTAGGGGTATGGACAAGATGATATATTATGTTTGTTTTTTTATATCAGACTTTCGATTCTGTAATGTATGAAGAGGCAAAAGAGGTCCTTTTTTCCCTGTAATATCAACTTTATCCTTTTTTATTTTTTAAATATCAGAGAAGTGAGTAGGAACAGATATCAAGTTGAGTCGTTCCCCAACTCTGTTTCCCACACAGTCTCTTGGGAAAGAGCTGCCGCCCTGACTGTAAGTGCTCCATGAATCAAGCCCTGGGATTAAAGGAGAGCTTTTGCAATGACTCTCTGAGGTTTTGGCTCTGAGAAGGAATGCCGGAATTTTAAGAGTTTCGACATATTCTGTATCATTATATCCCTATGCTTCAATAAGTTTAAAATAAAACTTTTAGAAGAAGTGTTTCCCAAATACCCAGGCACTGAGGACTGCATGGTGACCTCCTAAGGAACTTTAAAAGAATACCCAGGGCCCCACCCCTGAGAGTCTCATCTCATGATTTGTGCATTTAAGAGCAATGGGAAGGAGGAAACTTGAAAGTAACCTAATGCCTTTGCACTGCAGGCATCTGAGACCTGGAATGGGACCCCATTTCCTCACAGCACTGCAAAACCCACCAAGGCTGTATCTCACAACCTTCTGAGGGACTTTGGATATTTTAAGTTGTTTCTGTTGGCATCATACAGCACAGAATAGAAGGCCTATAATAAGAAAATAGAATAATTCTGTCCTCCCTTCACCTCCTTTCCTCACTACTTCTCAAACGAATCAACAACAAAACAATTTTGGTGGTTTTTCAAGAAAGGAATGTGATGAGGCCTGTTTCATTTTTAAAACAGTAGCTGTTGAAGCTATTTCCTTTGACTCTGATCAGACATTATGCTGCATTTCTTCCAAAGTAGATCGCTAATATTGTTTTTTAAGGGTTTTTTTGTTTTGTTGTTTTTTAACCTACTAAATTGCATTTCTGAAAATAACTTATTGAAATAATGGATATGAAAATGTCTGGATTAGTGTCTGGCACTTAGAAGCCAGTTAATAAATGCCCATTTTATAATGGAGAACTATTAAATTTATTTGTAAAAACAAGAACCCTTATTTAATAGATTTTATAGACTTTACGCTATTGTGCTTCGTGAACCTGGGCATAAATCAGAATCTTCCAGAGACGTAAACAGTATCATGTGTATTTTTTGTCTGTTCGTTTGTTTTTAGGGTTTGTTTTTGTTTTTGTTTTTTGTTTAAAGCAAATCACCTTTGCTCATCTTCCAGTAAAGCAAGTCCAGTCAACTCTGCTATCCACATGACCGGGAAAACTGTCTGTTGAGAGTTGAGACTGCTCAATATCACACGAATTTTGCATCACCAAAAAATTGTGAAAATATGCCATATTTGGCTGCTAATCTATATGCTAAAATTATATACAACTTATATGGTAACCCTTGTCTAAGAGTTATCTTCAAATCCTATGGGAATTAACATACTTTTCAAGAAATTCTTGCCTAGTACATAAACTTTTCATCATAATTTCTATAAATTGTGTTATAATTTCCAATAATTTTTTCAAGAACAAAATGTGAGTTTGTGAAAACTTAGATGGACCCAAGATGATTATGAACATCAACACCTGAGTAGTTTCATTACATGTCTGTTAAATCTAATCTCTGAGGAAGAAGTAACAGGTTAAAGCATAATTCAATGAGTGACAAAAATATGGCTTACCTTGAGTTATGTTTTGTAAATGACTGCCTATCGACATTAACAATTTTACCAAGATAAATAAATATATAGGAGGGGGACAATACACGGACAATAAATATACTGTGTTTCCATTTCTCAAGGTAACACTGATGACAACCCCCCCAACTATTGTTATTTGGGAGCCCATCAGGTGTCAAAGTGCTGTATGTGCTGACAGATTTTAAGGACAGTAAGCAATTATTTCTGTGATGTGATTTAAACATAGCAAGCAGGCCAGGATGCCTTTCCAAACTCTTTACTTGTGTGATTGATGCCCAACATTCCAGAAAGCTTAATCCCTCAAATCAGAGGTTCTAATCAGGGTATCCTTCAGTGTTTTAAAATACTGTATCTTAAAAGGCAGCTATCCAAGCCTCACCCCAGAACAACTGAATCAGTATATTTGCAGGTTGGATAAAGTATGTGTGAAAAGTTTGATCTCTGTGAAATACCAATCCCACTCCCCATCCCATTCACACTCTTAATAGAGCTCTCCATTAAAGCCATTTTCGAGCATTTGCATTTTAGTATGAATTATGTAGCAGATTTGGGCGGGGGGAAGGAAAATGAGATGAGTCCATCAATATAATAGTATAAAGACTCAGGTACAAATTGCAGAAAATGGTGAACTTATTCTTGTATATTAAGTCTAGAAGAAATATATAAGAAAATAAAATCTTACAGGACTTAGAGTGAACAATCCCCCAGCTCAATTATTTTTACAAAGAAGCTGTAAAATAGTACATTTCTGTAATTGTTTGAAAGACTTGCAAAAATTTGCAAACTGGAGAAAAAATGAAATTTAAGTTGACAAATTACAAAAAAACCCTTATCTACAAATAAATAGCAACAATACAGAGATGAATAATATTTTGCAGTGCTTATGAGCACTTACAAAACAACTTTCACATATTTTATGTCATTTAAACATCAGACTGTCATTATTGTTTTGTAGAATTAGGTAAAAGTAGATAGCGGATATCCTTATCTTACAGATGAAGAAACTCAAAGAGGTCACAGGGCTTTGCCAAGGTCCCATCAACAGGACCGAGGAATCTATGATTGAATCTGTTTGCCTAATGTTAAATATTCCACTTACTATATCTCAGTGCTCCCTGGAGAATAATCAGAATCTGATCCTTTAAGATATAATTTCCATCTTCGCATTCTAACAATTAAAATATATAAACAGTCTTTTTCACCAGAAAAACAATCTTTTGGGGTCCTTCATCAAATCCTAAGGGATCATCTCATTAGTTGTTTCTTAGCTAAGTTCCAAACTGTTGTTGGTAGCATGAAGAACATCTGAATTAATACCAAAAGTCTTTGATATTACAGTAGGCTGCAGATTCCTTCAGTACCCCTTCAAGTCATCTCTATTCTATTGTGTCCGTGTCATTAGGACATAGGGAAAATCTGTTCAACTATAATCACCTTGTCTTCCAAATAAAGACAATGGTAGCCTCCAATCTTGGATTTCCAAATTTATCTTGGGAATTTCACTATCTACAATCTATAGGTGGGAGATGTGAAAGCAAAGTCAACACAATAATGGCTGACTCTTTTTCTGCTTTAGCTTCTATTTCTCTTTTGTTCTATGAGTCTGCCTAAATATCTACCAACTGTGCTCGTCTTTACAAATAATTATCTTTGGTCTCATTGATTTTCTCTAATTTTTTCTCTTTTTTTTAATTTCCACCCTGATTTTATTATTTCTGTCTTCTTTTTTGGCATTGGATTTGCTGCTCTTATTTTCCCAGCTTCTTAAAGTAAAAGCTTAGACTATTGATTTATCTTTCTTCCTTTCAACTGTAAGTGCTTAAAGTTATAAATTTACCTCTAAGCACAGACTTTGTCCTGTTGTTTATTTCCAATTTAATGTGTTGTGGTTGGGGGATATACTTAGTAAAATTTCAATCTATTTTAAGTTACTGAAACTTGTTTTATGTCCTAGCATAAAGTCTATCATGGAGAATGATTCAAGTGCATGGAAAAAACTGTGGATTCTGCTATTGCTGAGTGAAAGGTTCTCTATATATCAGGTCAAATTGGATGATAGCTCTTTTCAATACTTCCACACCCTTATTCCTTTCTATTTAGTTGGCTTGTCAATTACTGAGAAAAGAATATTGAAATCTCCAACTATAACCAAGTTTGAGAGTTGTCTGTTTTTCTTACAATTCTGGAAGATTTTGCTTAATTTATTTAGGGATTCTGTTTTAGGCACATGTAGACTGGTAATTGCTTAATCTTCCTGATATGTCGGGCACTTTATCAAGTAGAAAAATCTCTTTCTGTCATTAGTAATATTTCTTCTCTTAAAATCTACTTTAATATTAATGTAGCTATTCCAGCTTACTTATAGCTAATGTTTGAATGGTATATCTGTTTTAATAATTTTGCTTTCAATCTATGCATGTCTTTGGATCTAAAGTATTTCTCTTATAGTAAACATAGGGTTAGATCTTCCTTTTTGTATTCAATTTGGCAATCTCTGTCTTTCCATTGGAGTGCTTAATCTATTTAAAGTTATGACTGTTATGGTTGGATTTATATTTTGCTATTTTTTTCTTTATCTCATGACTTTATCATTTCTTATTCCTCTTTTACTGTCTTTCTTTGTGATAAATGGACACTTTTATTATATCATATTACTTGGTTACTTTTAGGTATATATAAATATTTATATTTTATATGTATAATAATTCTTAATTAACTTTTTTCTCATTCAACATTTTAAATACGTCATTGCACACTGTCTTCTGGCCTTTTTTTTCTGATAAAAAATCAGTCATTAGTTATGTTGTTTCCCTGTGGTTTGGACTGAATGTTTGTTTTCCTACCAAATTCATATGTTGTAATCCTGATCCTTAGTGCAATGGTGTTAGGAGGTGGGGCCTTTGGGAAGTAATTAGGTAATGATAGTAGAGTCTTCATGAATAGTATGAGTGCTCTTATAAAAGAGACCCCAGAGAGCACTCTAGCTCTCCTTCTGTGAGGACACAAAAAACAAAAATACAAAAACAAAAAAACAAAAAAACAAAAAAAAAACAGGCAGACTGCAACTCAGAAGAAGGGACTCACTAGAACCCAACCCATGTTGACATGATTCTTTCTTCTGCCAATCACAAATCTGTTGATAAGAGCTCTGAGTATTGCGAGTATTCTAAAGGGTATTCAGTGTATTCCAGTTACTGTAATTTTCAACTGTAGATTTTCTATTTGTTTCTTCTCAAATAGTTCCCATTTCACTACAAAGATTCCTTATTTAGTAACTCACTATCATCCTAGTTTGCCTTAATTCTTCAGCGTTTCCTTTACACCTTTGAGCCTATTTATAATAGCTACTCTTAAGTCATTGCTAAATCCAATATTTGTACCCACTCAGAGTCAGTTTCTACTGACTGCTTCTGCAAATAAGTATAAGCCACATTTTACTGAGTGTCTTATAATTTTTGTTTGAAACGTATACATTTTAGATTATATGCTATAACAATTCTAGATCCTTTATTTTTCTGAGGACTATTAATCTAATTTTTTTGGTCTAAATTTACAGAATCTATCTGTGTTTGCTGATGTCTCTGCTCAGGGTTTCTATTCTTACACTTATTTTTCAGCCTGGTGTCCTAGGTGTTGCATCTCGTATCTGCCTAGCTAAGAGGTCAGCTAATTATTTGAGCAGAGGTTTTGTTCAAACACCTGGAGCATGTTAGGCTTCCAGCCCTCTCAATCCATCTGTAAGTACTTTGAAAAACATATTCAAAGTTGCAGCTTGTTCTCAAGTCTCCATAGGACTTTTTTCCTTTTTATATTTCTGTGTCTGTTTGATCTGTCCTGCACATTTAAAGTTTCCCAGTGAAGCAACAGTTGTAGAGAGCTTATCTCAGCACTTCTATGGCTCCCTTGTTTCCAGACTCTGCCTGTGAAATGTCTGGCTAGAAGGTTTTCCCTGCTCATTCACAATTCAGTCCACCACTACTTTCAATTAGCAAAGCTGGAATTTTTGTCTCCTACCCTGATTGAGTCAGTCTGTCCCCTTTAAGAGTAGAGCCACTGGTTTTTGCATCCAGCCACAACTTGTAAGACTAGGGTTCCTGTTATCCAAGCAGGGACAACTGGGAATGTGAACAGTCCCAAAGAGATGGCCAGAGATTCCTGCTTTCCACTTGCATTTTCCAATTTTTAAGAAGTCAGACTAGAAGTTGTTATTCTCAGTCCATGGATATTCAAGTTAGCCAAGCAAAAGAGAACACTAGTACATCAAACTTAGAACCTTGGTTTATTCGTTTTTATGTTATTACTGTTCCTTGCAATAAAAATGCTTCCTTCTCTCAGATAGGGAAAAAAAATATTTCCCATGTATATATGTGGTACACTACCGCATTAGATAAGCACATTTTAATTTACTAATTATACAGAGTCACTCCAAAGTAACTAAAGTACTTTAAGGCTAATTTGTTTAAGTAAAAATAAGTATGCAAGTATATTGGGCATAAGGAAATAATTTCTGAAAGAAATTCAAGTTCATGATGGAGTAGAAACTTTAAACAGACATATCTAATAAAACTGAAGCATTGCTCAGAAAATGTATAAATGTAATAAATAAAGAATTTAACTTGAGAGTTAATTAAAAAATTAACAATCCTTTAGAAAATAAATTGAGTTAATAAACATAAAAACAGATTTTTATCGATTAAAATTAAATTATTAGAATTTTTAAATGTAAGAATTTTTTGCTTTTAAATATAACAAAATAGATTAATCATTAAAAGTTAACCAAGAAAAAGAGTAGAAGTGCAAATACAAAATATTGAAATGTTTCTGTGGAAATAACTACAATCAGAAATTACCAGAATTATGAGTAGATATTTTGCTCAACTCTGCTCAATGACAATGAGAACTTGTATAAAATAGGTTATTTTCTGGGAACATGAAAATTAATTCCAGAAACAGTCAAAAATATTACTAACATTGATAATCCAAAAAATGTCACTATAAAATTATTATTCCTGAAAATCCAAGGTTCAAACTCTTTCTCAAGGTTTTCTACCAAACCTGAAAGGAAAAGATAACTACAATGAAATCTATGCAGTTTAAAAATACAGGGAAAAAACTGAAAGAACTCAAGCACTCTTTAGAAAATGATTATAATATGGATCTAGAACCCAAAAGCAATAGCAGGAACAAAAGCTAAGTAGAAATCAGTCTTATTTCATGATTATGAATGTGAAAATAATAGTAAACAGAACCCAAGAGCACATTAAAATAATAATACAGCATGAGAAGGGTTATTTAGTCTAATGAGAGGATGGATAAATGTTAGCATATCTATGTATTAATTTCAAATATTAATGAAGGAGTCACTGAAGAAAAATCATATACTAATTTTCATATTTTAGATACTGAAAGAGCATTTAACAGAAAGCTAACATAATTGTAAATATTGTCAATAACATGGAAATAAGTTGACATTTCAGTTATGTAAATCATGCTTAATATAGAAATATTAGCAGCACTTTAATTGAAATAGAAAATAATACAAGTATATATTTTATTACTATTATAATTAACATTATTCTGGATGTATCAGTATAATTAGATTAGAAAAAATATATAAAATTCGAAATTAGGAAAATAATATTATCATTATATTTAAATTACATGGTTGTTTTTCAGGGAAAAAGAATAAACAAATCATCTGGAAAATAATTACAAGTAGTAAGAATTTCATAAAGCTGTGTACATAATTGAATGTATAGAAATCAATAATCTTCACATCCCCAAAAAACTACCAGTTGGAAGACATAACCCATATTTCAGAAACAAAAAGAAATCAAATACCTAGAAATAAACTTAGAAAGTAAGCTAGATGTACAAACAGAAATACTTAAATGCCCCCGAAGGATGCAAAAAGAGATTTGAAAAATTGTGAAGGCACAACTTGTTATTGAAGCTTCACATCATAACATGTAAATAGGAAGACTTCACATCATAGGATGTTAATTCTATTTAGTCAACTTACAAATTGTTTAGAATTACAACAAAAAAATCACAAAAATAATTTATTTTTGAAACAAAACACACTGACCCTAAGTTTCATTAAAAGCATTATTAAGAGAGTTTTTCTTACACCTAGGATTTAGAGAGCTACAAAGAGGGCTTCTCTCATTCTAATATGAAAAAGCCAGATAAGTACAAAATCATAAATTTCCTTGAACTTATCGAAAAGCTGATGCTACAGAGTAACCAAACAGCCTGAATATCCACTTTGGGGAAGGCTTCCACAAGGAGAGAGGGGAAGTATGGACTGTCTCATCTATGGTAGAATGCAGGGGGAAAAACAGAGCCATCAAAGATGGTAAGAAGAAATCACCTAAAATTTTTATAAATAACTAAAAACTTAATGTGGACCAGCACAACATTATAGAGCAGCTGATAGCTCCAGATACAAGGGGAATTTAAATTTACTCACAAGCTCTTTTCCATAGATCTCCAGTGGCTGTTCAAGAGAACAGGATAAGAGACAGGAGGACCTCCTCTGCTGATGAAGGCATGGAGGAGGGAGTAGCTGCCATTGCAGGAAAAATAAAAACCCTTCTTCCCTGCCTGATCCCTTGTCTCATAGAGAAGCAAATGCTTCAAGCAGAAAAATAAAGCTGGTCAGCCCTAGGGCATAATAAAAGATCCTTTGAAGGATTCCTTCAGCAGGTTCAACAATGGACTTGGCCTGGCTAAGGAAAGAATCATGAACTTGAAGATGGGTCAACAGGCATCACCAAAGCTTAAAGACAGAGAAAAAAAGAATGAATACAAACAGAACGGAGCATCAAAAAGCTGTGTGACAATTTCAAATCATCTAAATACTTGTAATTGAAGACCCAGAAGGAGGAGAGAGCACAAAACGAGAGAGATATTTGAAAAGATAAATTTTCCAAAAATAATGAAAGACATTTAAAAAAGATTCAAGAGGCTAAGCGATTGCAAAGCAAGACTGAAAAATATCATATGCCTAGACATATCCTATTCAAAGGGCTGAAAAACATAAAAAGACAATTTTGAAGGCAGCCAGTGAAAAGACACATCACATTACAGAGAAACAAAGACAAAAATTACAGTCACCTTCTCGTCGGAAAGCCTACAAGTCAGAAGATATTGGAATCACAGCTTTAAATTTTTGAAAGAAATAAAAAAGCCTGTCAACCCAGATCTCCATACCTAGAGAAAATATCTTTCAGCAATGAAGGTGAAATACTTTTTCAGACAAATAAATGCAGTGAGAAAATATTGCCTGAAGATTTCATTGTGATACTAACATTAAATACTTACATTAGGACACTAGAGAAAGAAAAGCAAATTAAACCCAAAGCAAATAGAAGGAAGAAAATAATAAAGAGTAGAAAATAAATCAATTATATTAAAAGTTTAAAAAATAGAAAAAAAGATGAAACTAAAAGCTGGTTTATTTTTTTACAATTGATAACCTCTAGACAGACTGATAAATAATAAGGAAAAAGACATGTATAAATAACATCCACATCCTACTGATATTAGTAAAAGAGAAAATATAATCATGTAGCTCAATAGTAAGACACACAGCATAGACATAAAATAAAAACTGTGCTCCAAATACAAACAATAAAATTAGTAAATGGAAAAAAGAGAATATTAAAAACTGACCCAGCCAGATAGCTTGTATGGTTATAGAGGAGCCACAGAGCAGTGAGCAGAACAGTGATTGTTTAACAATGTTGTTAAGAAAACTGCAAATTTATAGAGAAAGATAAATTTAAATTCTCATCTTGCACTTTGCGCAAATGAAACTTGGCATGCAAAGCATATAAAAATGTGAAATGTAATACACTAAAGTTAATAAAAAATATAAAACATACAAAAGTATTCAGCATAAAGTGAAATATTAATAGATATGAGTATCTAAGAATTGAAGATATTTGCTTTACAAAGAAGATTTGAGAGAAATATTAAGGGAGAATATTGCAAGAAAAAATACAAGGCAGTGTTATCTAGGACATGAATATTTTTCAAATTTGGAAATCATTTGTATTTCAAGTTAAAACAATGTACAAAATATGTGAATAGGAAGGGAAATGTCATATATAAAAGAATTATTTATTATTGTATATCTAGCAAATTAAAATAATTACGAAGCTATATGATGCCAAGTTTTGGCAAGGATAGGAAAAAATAGAAACCGTTTCAGGTGAAAGTACAGCCTGATATAGCAGATATGTGGAACAATTTGCAATACATAATAATTATGAGAATGACCAGCAATGCTACACTTGGATATAGAAACATCATGCACAGATCCATAGAAGAGTATGTATTAATATGTTCATTACAGCATTATTTTGATCATGAAACCTGGAAGCATCCTATGTGTATATTTCTGGGAAATAAATTTAGAAAAATTAATAGACATGCTTTTTAACTACTTAATAGATAAACTACTGAAATAAACACATTATTTAAAACTAATAGACATGTATCATGGAGCAATTCAGAAGCAGGGACCATGAAGTGTGGACTAGAGCAATAACATAATGCTATTAATATAATTTTAAAGACACACTCACAAAACAATATTTTACAGTTTACAACAACACATACATATCCCAGAAAAAATATGACACATGTTAAAGTGATACTTATGGTGGAGGAAGAGTGAGGAAAAAATGGATTTAGGGATCAAGGATGAAGGAAAAGGCAAATAAAATACAGCAATAAAGGTGACTCAGCCCAATAGGATAGTGTGACATGACCTGCGTAATACAGCCTCTGTATTTGACCCCCCCAACACACACTCATACACACCACTCACACAAACACACAGATGCACAAAAAGTTGAAAACAATTATGGTATATTCATACAATAAAATATTGTGAGGTATTAAAAATAATGAAGTGCTGGATAGATAAGAATCTCAAATGTATATTATTAAGGTAAAATATCAAAGCCCTGAACTGTGTGAAGAACATGGTACTATTTGCATTATTAAATAGAACATATGAGAAAATGCTTGCATAGCACAGTCTGACTCTGAGAGGACAGAGAAGAAAATGGTAACAGTGATTACTTCCAGGAAAGATAACTAGATATCTGTCAGACAGCAGTGGGAGGCAAGATTAACATTGTACTGCATATTGTTTCTTTTAAATTTTGTGCTTTGCTTGCCCAACCAATCAAACACATAAATAAAATGTGTTGTTAAAGAAAACTTACACCAATAAAATAATTGTCTACTTGAAATCAGCAATGAGTTTATTCTAGGCTAAGTTACTGGCAGGACTAAAAAATATAAATACTTAAAAAGTATAGAAAATGCCCATGCTTTATTTCAAATTTATTGTGTGTTCAAATACAGCCCATCTTTATCTATGCCTGCAACTCTACGTTTTATAGTATTTACTATATTACAATTCTTCAAAGAAAACTTCGCCTATCATGAGTCACAATTTCATTTAGAATTCAAAATAATTAGTAGGATAGTAATCATTCATTTTAAGATATACACCAGCATTTTCAATTTTAAATAGCCAAGGATCTCTAGATGCTAAGGGGCTCAAACAATTCCCCATGTCAATACCAAATGCATTGAGGTGCAGATGTGCAGGGAAGCTTACCAATGTGAGAACCAATTCCAATTACTGTCTCTCCCTGAAGTACTTTCATGCAGATATTCACTTTAATCTCAAAAGCCATTCACTTAAATTGTCCCTGATATGTCATTACTCATTGCTCTCTGTAACACTCTCAGATTTCCATCAACTTGCACTCAAAAAGCTCCAAGTCATTAAATTGGAGAAAATTTCTTTCTTAAGTCTCTCTATTCAACTCACTTCACTGGTAGGGGCCATTTCTATCTTGGGACTAGCTTACAAAAACTTCATGTTAGTCAGTATTTCTAGAGCAGAATCTATAATTAGTGGAGCCATCAAAGATTGCCTTTACTCAGGATTTGGACGTTGACTTATTTTGATCATACCATCATCAAAATAAGTGATTACCCTATTTTACTCTTAAAGAAGTGTACAAGAATAAGAAAAGAAAAATTGAGATCAATCCTAAAGGAGATTTATACTTTCCTAGATTTGGTTATCAGATTATTAAAATGATTAGAAAGATAAACTAAAATTTAGCTTAAAAAATAAAGTTTTTTAACCCTTAGTATGTTAACAAAGATATCAGCATATTTCTTTGCTTAATAATTGAAATGGCAATTGCTAACACAGATAATACCTAGATTATAATGAGATTGTTATGCTATTTACAAAATTTGGAGAGAAGCTCAATACCATTAACTTTGGTAATATTTTCAAAAGGAAATATGTTTAAGAAGATAAGTTGGAAACCCAATGTTATTTCTAATTTTCACATAATAAAAGCAATAAAAATTAAAACAAAACAGACAACCTGGAATAAATCATATTGCATTTTCTTCCACATAGACAGAAAATGACGTGAGCTATTGTATTGTTTGATTTGTAACTGTGTAATCAATTTCTTTTTTTTCTCTTTTTTTTTGAGACAGTCTCACTCTGTCATCCAGGCTGGAGTGCGGTGGTGCGATCTCGGCTCACTGCAACCTCCACCTCCTGGGTTCAAGCGATTCTCCTGCCTCAGCCTCCTGAGTAGCTGGGACTACAGGTGCATGCCACCACACCCAGCTAATTTTTTTATTTTTAGTAGATATGGGGTTTCACCATGTTGGCCAGGCTGGTCTCGAACTCCTGACCTCAGGTGATCTGCCCGCCTGGGCCTCCCAAAGTGTTGGGATTACAGGCGTGAGCCACTGCACCTGGCCTGTGTAATCAATTTCAAATATCAGCAAGTTTTCTCTGTAAAGGGCCAGATATTAAATATTTCAGGTTTTGTAGGCCACTTGGTCTTTGTCACGACCGCTCAACTCTGCCACTGCAGTGCTGAAGGAGCCACAGACAACCGGTAGATGAATAGACATGGTTGGATTCCAGTGAAATTTTATTTGGAAAAACAGGAGGCAGGCTACATTGGCCTACTGGTATATGGTAGTTTGCCTACTCTAATCTACTTGATAGGTTTATCTACTTGATTAATCTATTGACAGATCTTGTGAGGAGTGTTAGGCTCAGACACCAATACCCCAAAATCTGGTGCTTTGACATCGTAACTAAAGAAGCTTCAGGGTCTCTCTGATGACCCCCACCTCCAGTCTCTCTCCCAAAGCACAGGGAGAAGTTGTTCTCTGAAATTCCGTGATCTGCCTAAAGTCTGGACCTACCAAAGGCGAAAACAGTTACCTCTGGTCCCTTCCCTGAGTTTGTATTAACTGAACTTATTGGAGGAAAAAAACCGGAAATCTGTCAATAAATCTGGACAGACTTTTGTCACAAACCATTGTCTGCTCTGAAAGCCCAACAGACTATCCTTGGCCACTGTATGTTGTTCAAGTCCATTGAATTCCCCTAAAAATAATTTACTAACCCCCTAAAATAATCCATACATCCGCATCTCCATGTCCCTTAACTAGAAGGGTATATAACCATCTGTACCCCCATTGTGTGGTGGCTAATTACTCTATGACCCTCCTTTGTGCATGCTAATAAGTTGTATGCCATTTCTCTTATTAATTTACCTTTTTTGAGTTGATATTTTCCAGTCACCTTTCAGAGGGTGAAGGGGAAGTTTTTCCCTTGGCCCCTACAAGAGCAAAATTATTTCAAAACTCCAAATCTTATCAGCAGTGTGCCATCTGTGACTGAGATGCCCTTGATTCATGGGAGCAAAAGCACCCATCTGATATTCTGACATTGTTTGTTTTATATTTTATTCTTATGCATTAATCTTCCTCTCCTTTCCGATATACATCAGTTATAAGTGGTGGGTGAATAAATTTATTTTTTCATTTAACAATTTATTTTCTGATCTATTGTGAAGATTTCATAAAGAACACCATATGGTTAGAGCAAATATTCTACAGAATTTCAGTTCTGTTATTAAAATATTATATCATGAAGAGTAAATGTATGATAAAAATAACTGAAGGGATATAATCAAGGTTCCCATGTCACAGTTAAGATGTTTTGTCTTGCTACATATAAAGCTTCTGTTTCTCCTGTGAGTCCAGAAAATAATAAACCCTTCTTAGATGAGCAGAAAGATAATGGAGAGACATTGTGGTGAAATAATGGTTACATTAGTATAAGAATGAAAATAAATACTATAATCATAATGAACTATGCTGGTGCATCACAGCTTGTCATCAACAGAGTCTAAATCGGACTATAAGGTGAGAGAAAAATGGCAAAGAGGTGTTGAAGGCAAGAGATCTGAACTGGTGCCAGGATGGCCAGATGGGCACAGGCCTTCCTGGGTCTCAGGTTCTACCAATTCCACTCCTCCTACTGGCCAAAGGGAAGATACCAGGGCTCTCATAGGAATGTGCTTTATCTTCATCAATGTGCCTGAAAAGGGAGATTATCATCACTATTTCTAATTCAATATCTTCTTCCTTCTGCCACATCCGGTGCTGTGATTCTTCTTAGGTATTCACGGCCAGCCATTGTAGGTATTGATCAGACATGAACACTGCAATCATGTTACTAAAAATTGGCTGTAGAGAAGAAAGGGGTATCAAAATTGGGGTACTGAGGATTCTTATAAAAGCTGTCCTCTCTGCCAGGGAGCAAGTTTCCCTCCTCTCTTCTGAACATAGTTTCCCATTGTCCATGCATGTCTGTTTGCTAGAAACAAGAGAAAACATTTCCTCTCTCCTGGCATAACAGGAAACTATATGTAGGAAAAAATAAAATCTATTGTCCATGGAAAAAATGTTAACAACAACAAAGGTTTGACGTCTCCCCAGAAAACCATTTTGTGTGTGTGTGTGTGTGTGTGTGTGTTTCTCCAGGAACAGGGGTGGGAACTGGATATTGAACTATATTCATACCCACATATTATATCCTCAGATGTCATTCAGAACT
The DNA here is from genome assembly GCF_000001405.40 of Homo sapiens. Classification (NCBI taxonomy): domain Eukaryota; kingdom Metazoa; phylum Chordata; class Mammalia; order Primates; family Hominidae; genus Homo; species Homo sapiens. Next base: position 158,065,975 of record NC_000004.12, read on the forward strand.
TACAGGGAGAACATTTTTTTAAAAAAACACCCAATATTCAGAGTTCTTTACAGACACCACATGCATTATTACAAAATACATTTGGTATATCGTTACTTTCATAAAGACTAGATTTTTAAGTAGTTCTGTGCAACCGTGTAGAATATATAACCAAGACCACTATGCATCAGCCTCATCTACTGGTTTAACCCTGAAGGAGCATCTTCCTTTGTTCACTGCAGTCTTAGCTGTGCAGGTCCAAAGAGGAGAAGATGGTTCTGCGTGAAAATAATGCAAACGAAACTATCAAGCAAACTATTTCCTCAGCATCCAGTCTGTACAGCACCCTGTTTTTTCTCTGTATTGCTTTATGTTATTACATTGTGCCCTAAACCTTTCTACATAGATATGACACCAATACCTGAAACTCAATAGATTTACAACCAAACCATTAATATTTCTCCCTAATATATACCTTCCGTTTCCTAGTTCAGATAATGATAGCAATGTCTTTCTAGCATCTTCACTTTCTTCCTCTTCTTCATTCTCCAAATTCAGATGATGGTCATCTTTTTCCACTTTCTACTCCTCCTACTATGACCCTAATTCAGACTTTCAGCATCTCTTACCTGAAAAACTACCATAACTTCATAACTGTCTCCTGTTTTATTGCCTCTTTCATACACTGCCACAGTCTGCTTTCTAAATCTCAGATTTGATCATATTAATTCCTGGTTTGGAAGCTCTCACAGATTCCTTATTGCTTAAAACACCATTTCCTTGGAAAGTTAGGTTTGGTTTGTGCTAAGAGGTTTGAAACAGTTGGGAAAGAAGGAAGGCCAGAACATATAGGAAAGTACAAAAATATTTCAAAATGTACAAAAATATTTTTACATCATTTGGCTTTGCAGGGTTTTTTAATGGACTTATTGTACAAAACAATACTATTTAGGGAAATAAGACAATATATCTATCTGCTTATGTTTTCAAAAACAATCAAGAAAGAATAAATCAGAAACTAATATGATTAGTTATGTGCAAGGAATAAAATGGAGATGAGATCAAAGTGCGAGCTTTCCTTAATTTGCTAACTGTATGGTGGTTATGTAAGAGAATATCCTTGTTCTTAGGAAATATATACTAAACTATTAATAGGTAAAGGAACATGGTATACGTGATCTACTCTCAAATGGTTTCGATGAAAATAATAACTGTATATATATGTGTGAATGACTGAGACAGAATAAAATAAAGCCAATTTGGCATGGCGTCAAAAACTGGTCAATCAAGGGTAAAAAACCATTTTATTTTCCTTTGCAGAACATCTATCACTTGCTGCTGAGGACAAACTAGAAGCCTTTATCCTCAATTCTAATTTCTAATCTCTATTTCTATTTTTTGTTTGTTTGTTTGTTTTTGTTTTTTGAGAGGGAGTTTCACTCTTGTTGCCCAGGCTGGAGTGCAAAGGCACGATCTCAGCTCACTGCAACCTCTGCCTTCCGGGTTCAAGCGATTCTCCTGTCTCATTGTCCTGAGTAGCTGGGATTACAGGCGCCCGCCACTACGCCCGGCTAATTTTTGGTATTTTTTTTCTTTAGTAGAGACAGGGTTTCATCATGTTGGCCAGGCTGTTCTTGAGCTCCTGACCTCAGGTGATCCGCCTGCCTCAGCCTCCCAAAGTGCTGGGATTACAGGTGTGAGCCACCGTACCCGGCCTCTAATCTCTATTTCTAATCACTGATGAACTTGAACCCCTGTGAGTTTGGTAGTAATTCTGGAACAAGAAAGATTGGCAGTGCTTGAGTAAAGTTCTTTATCTTTTGACCACAGGTTTGTGGCATTTGTCTAGCAAGTGGTTATTTTTTGCATATTTTCTTTTTGGTGGATATGTTGCAGATAGTTAATTGTTACTGTAAGCTGTTTTCAGATTTATAGTCTGGTTTCTCATGTATGAAATGAATGTTTCTGAGTTTAAATTTCCTCATCTGCAGAATAAAAGCAGTTGAGTAATCACTAGATTACATCTCTAAGGTCCTTTCTTCCAAAAAAAAATCCCTTCCATATTTTACTTTCTCAATCTTCTTTTTAATGCAGAGGAAATTTAGTTTTCTCATCCACAGCATATCTATATCATGAGGGGAAAAATGTTATTTGTTCATGACTGAGGTGAAGTAAGCTCTGTTGTTATACTTGTTCCTTTCTATATAATTTTAATTTCTTAATTGAGCCTAGAATTGAAAGAAGCATATTATAACTAGGACTCTAAAAATAGTAACTCATGCCTAAGATTGCTTGCATTCTTACAAGTAAAAGAAAATTGTTGAAATAATTGACTGGTTGCCAGTCAAATGCTTTTAATTTTTTATAATTTCTCAGCACTGGCCGGCATGGTCATTGTTACACAGGTTTGCTGAAGTGAAAATATGGCATTTGCTAAGAAAAAAAAAAGAATTCAGTATCAGGAGTGATGTACAGAATAGATAATTTATACAATCTTTCCAATGGTAATCAGCATTTGTTTTGTAAATTGTTGAGTAAATAATATAAAAGAATGAATAATTCAGAAACTAATACAATTAGTTATACACAAGGAATAAAATGGAGATTAGATCAAAGTGTGAGCTTTGTATTTCCTTGTCCTTTTCTTTTCCTGGGAGAACCTGAAAAGGACTGAACACAAACGCAGCTGAGAAGTGCCCATGGGACAAGAATGTGATGGACACTCGGTCTTATTGGGATTCACAGGATCTTAGGGTTTAGATGACAGAAGCTTACAGAACACATCCCAATAACTGCAGGTCTCCCAGGAAAATCAACAGATCAGCGTTTTATTTCCCTTTTCACCAGTTACTCTTACAGGTCCTGAGATCCTGTGCCATATCTAGAGAGGTTACCTCAGAAAAAAATTAAGACATTTTATATTTAATTCATTTATTCAATACCCATGTATTAGTACTTATTATACTTAATACTATATACTTAAGTGTTTGTGGTTCTATGAATCATCAGACAGATTTATCTTCTCAGGAAACTTAATGATTATAAGAAACATTTTACACATTAATCATGATTTGTTTAAATAAAAAGAAGATAATCTGTAGTAATTAAAATTTTGAAATATAGTATTTTTAGAGTGAAAAGGATATGTATAAATGAGAAAATGCCAAGAACATTTTTTTATTATACTTTAAGTTCTGGGACACATATGCAGAATGTGCCAATTTGTTACACAGGTGTACACGTGCCATGGTGGTTTGCTGCACCCATCAACCTGTCATCTACATTAGGTATTTCTCCTATTGCTATCCCTCCCCTAGCCCCCAACCCCTCGACAGGCCCCGGTGTGTGATATTCCCCTCTCTGTGTCCATGTGAAGAACACAATTTTTTTAACAAATAATTTGTATTGTTCTTGGAGACTTTTGATGAATAGTCTCAAAAAATATATTGACAATCCTGCTTTCTTCTAAACCATGTTCTTAGCATTTTCACATATATTGTAATTTACCTTGTCAATCTACAAAAGCTTCCATGTTAAAAACTGAAGATGTATTTCCAAGGAACTGTGGGATCAGTATCTTAGAATACTGTTCTTTCACAGAAAATATTTTTATTTTCTGTAATGACATCCAGCCAACTTCAAGTTTTTAGGATTCAGAACTGTAGCTGGTGTTGACAACATTGTTAATCTTCCTACACGAATATTCAAGGGAAAATTACTAAGGTAAACTATGAAAAATTTAGCATCATTTAAAAAAATTACTTTTACTCAAGTAACATTGTCACTGTCTAAATGCCAAAGTCTTCTTTGTAAAAGTCCTATAATTTGTTAACCACTAAGCAGTTTTTGCTTTCTAAAATATTCTGTACATGTCTTTGAAAGAGAAGATAGCATTATTTTTAAAGTATTGCTTAATGAAATCATGTTTTGCTATAATAACTTATTTTGGATTCAAGTATAAGTTATAATTGATAGTATTACATAAAACCAGTGTTATATATTAGAACAAACTCTACATCAAAAGTGGAAATCATTTTTTTGTGTCAGTTAAAACTCATCAATTTTTAAAAATTGTTTTAGGGAGACTACCCTCATTCATCTAAAAAAGTCTATAACTCAATAATAAAATGAAAAATTACCCAATTTAAAAAATAGATAAAAAGTCTGAGTAGATCTTCCTCCAAAGGAGATACATCAATTGCCAATAAACACATGGAGATGTTCACCTAATTCGCTATCCGGGAAATACAAATCAAAACCACAGTGAGACCACTCACTTGTCCCCATTTGGATGATTATAATCAAAAAGACACACCATGACAAGGATTTCCAAGGATGTGAAGACACTGGGAAACTCATACATTGTTGGTAGGAATGTCAAATGGTGCAGCCACTTTGGAAAACAGTTTAGAAGCTTCTCAGAAGGTTAAACACTGAGTTACCATATGACCCATCAATTACACTGTTAGGTATATACCCATGAGAAATGAAAACATATCCACACAAAAACTTGTATAGGAATTTTCATAGGAGAATTATTCACATTAGCCAAAAAAGTAGTAATAACTTAAATGTCTATTGTTGAATGGGTAGATAAAATGTGGTATATACACACAATGGAACACTATTCACCGGTAAAAAGAAAAGAAATATTGATCCATGCTAAAATACGGGTAACCATGAAAACACTATGCTGCGTGAAAGACACCAGCCACAGAAGACTATATAGTGTATGATTCTAGCCACGTAAAAGTTCTAAAACAGGCAATTTGTACAGATAAAAAGTAAATTAAAGATTTCCTAGGTCTGTAGCTGAGAGCAGGGGATGATAGTGAGCAACCACTAATGGGTACTGCACATGGTTTTATTTGGGGGTGACAAAAAAGTTCTAAAATTGGTTGATTGCAGTGATGGTTACACAAGTCTATGACTCTACTAAAAGCTATTGAGTTGTGCACTTTAAATGGGTGAATTACATGGTGTGTGAAATTATATCTCAGTACAACTTAAAAAATATCTAAATTAGAGAACATTCAGAAAATACAATTCTGTTATTTTAGTACATGTATTATCTTGATAAAATTGGAAAAGTACTGTTAAATAATAACCATCGAAGTTGCTTTAAATGTGTAAGATTCACTTATAATCAATATACTCATTGAATAAAAATTATTCTATTGAAATCTAAAAATTATGTAATTTTATCCTTAAAAAAATTAAGCATTTTCTAAGACAGCAAAGTATTAATTTGTTACCTACACTCTTTTCCCAAAATCATTAAATAATTATTAATTTAATGAAGCCATATTTAACACAAAATTTCATTGAGTTTGTAGTCTATATTACTGGAGATCTATGGGAAAAAAATTTCTAAATTCCTATTTAAATATTAAATTATTCATGTGCTTATTCTCTAAAGTTAATTTTACAGCATTGCAATTAGAATACTATTACCAAAAACATTAGGAAGCCACCATATTCTTGGATAAAATTCTAAATACATATCCTAGTCATTACAGATATTAAAAACCTTTTAAGAAAAATAAGCAATGTGATGCAGCCATAAACACATAATAAGGTCATGTCCTTTGCAGTAATATGGATGGAGCTGGAGAGCATTACTCTAAGCAAATTAGTGCAGGAACACAAAAACAAATACTACATGTTCTCACTTATAAATGGGAGCTAAACATGGAGTACACATGGACATGAAGAAAGGAACAATAGATACTGGTACTATTGAGGGTGGAGATGGGGAGGAGAGTAAGGATTGAAAAACTATCTAGTACTATGCTGGTTACCTGGGTAACAAAATTATCTATACACTAAATCCCTGTGACATGAAATTGACCTGTGTATCAAACCTGCATATGTACTCCTTGAACCTAAAAGTCAGAAAAAAATATAAATAACTAGTGTGAATTAAATAAGTTAATATTTTAAAATACTTGATTTAAATACTTTGGTTATGCTTTATGAATAATAATGTTATGCCAACTTAGCTTCATCTAAATTTTACTATAAAAAGGAACGAAAAATTAATTTCATGCCAAGAAATTATTAGAAAAAGAGGAGCATCTTGGCCACATATGATGTTGAAAGGATCTTTGTCTATTTGAAATTCTGGACTGAATAAATGTCAGATCAGGAATGGTCACTTCGGAGACAGGCCGTGACAGCTGTTCAATGCTGTCACATAACTGCATAAGAGGAAGCAGAGGAATTTGCAAAGAGTTAGTGAGATAGATAAAGCAAAAATTGAAAGCACATCAGTAACCAAACGAAAGAAACAAAAACTAAAAGAACAAAACTGGACACTGAATTTTAAGGGGAAAAAAATTATACAGTTTTCACACACACAAAAAAAAAATGGGGCTAGATGCAGTAGTGTGGGTCTGTAATCCCAGCTACTTGGGAGGCTGAGGCAGGAGGATTGCTTGAGTCCAGCCCCAGCAACATAGTGAAACCCTGTCTCTAAAAAAAAAAAAAAAAGGAAGGTAAAAAACTATAAACAAACAAAACCCTTTTGAAAAAAAATGGGTCATGAAGAGATTTATTTCATTCAAAGTTTGCTTCCTCAAAGACTACAAATCATTCGCAAACACTTAACTCATGGATAGTTTCCATAGTGACACAGAAAACCCAAAATGGAAACAGTTTTTATAGGTTCTTAACCCATATAACAGACAAAACTGTCTAGAACAGTGGTTACAATTCAGACTATAGATGACTACAAGCAATTCTATAAGAAAAGTGATTGATAAGGAAATGATAACTCAGGGTGTGGTGGCTCAGGCCTGTAATCCCAGCACTTTGGAAGGCTGAGGAGGTGGATTGCTTGAGCCCAGGATTCAAGACCAGTCTGGGCAACATGGCAAAACCCTGTCTTTACAAAAAAAAAAAAAAAAAAATACAAAATCCAGCCAGGCGTGGTGGTGCACGCCTGTATTCCCAGCTACTCAGGAGGCTGAGGCAGAAGGATCACTTAAGCCTGAGAAGTTGAGGCTGCAGTGAGCTGTGATTGCACCACTGCACTCCAGCCTGGGTGACAAAGTGAGACCCTGTCGAAGAAAGAAAGAAAGAAGGAAAGAAAGAAAGAAAGAGAGAGAGAGAGAGAGAGAAAGAAAGAAAGAAAGAAAGAAAGAAAGAAAGAAAGAAAGAAAGAAAGAAAGAAAGAAAGAAAGAAAATAAGAAAAGAAAGAAAGAGGAGGGGAGGGGAGGGGAGGGGAGGGAAGGGAAGGGAAGGGAAGGGAGGAAGGGGAGAAAGAGAGAAAGAAAGAGAGAAAGAAAGAGAAGGAAGGCAGGAAGCCTGGCTCACAATATTCTAAAGCAGTAGACCACACATAGTCACATATTGAAGCAATCATGAATTGCTATACAAAGTAATACTTCTATATTTCTTAAAGTGTAGACTGTATTGAGGAAAATTGTTGATTCCACCCTCTTCCCCTAACAGGTTTAATATGACCCGCTGTGGTTGAAAAACATCAACATAAGCTGTTGCTACGCTATTTATGTACACATCTCTAAAAAACAGTTTATGAAAATAAATGTATATGTAAACTTTTTTATTTACATGTTTGTCTATACACACAAGGAATAAAAAGTATTATTACAGGGCAATGATGAAATGCTATTTGTCTCTAGTTGCTCTTAACCCTTATTAAATAATCACTACTGCTCTTTATACTTCCCTTCTCTTTCATTTAGCGGAGAGAAAATTGCTGGGCTATTTTGTGCCACCAACATAGCCCTTCCGAACTGAGAGACTTGCTATAATTATGCTGCCTCATCTTTAGATTTCTCCAGCCTGTGTCTCCTTTCTATACTGGAAAGCAAAGGCAGAACTCCAAGATTGGATTCTTTGAGTTGACCCACTGCACAGTTCTCCCTACTTTCCATCCCACCTCTAACACCCCTGCGTGAGTTAAGAAGACTACAATTCTGATATTTCCTTACAGGAGTCCCAGTTACACCATCTATGAGCAGATAGGATTTTGTAGATTATTTCACTCTTTCATTAGCCACTGAAAATGAAAAACTCCAAGGGTTAGAATTATGAAATAGCCTACATTTTCCCTGTTATTATTCTAAAGCGTCCAATGTAATCAGGAATCTCCTTATTATGAATTATTTTTATTAATTAAGGGGACAGTGAGTTTAATCCTATTGTTACTTATTACATGCTAAATGTTAGGTTTCTTAATGTAAAAGCTGATCAATCATATGTGACACTTTAATAGAGTTTGTTGAAAGCAGAGACGTTCTGATCATCTGTTTAGCAATACACTTCTTCATCCAAAAGGTATTTACTAGGTTGATTTTTTAAATCCAGAAACCATTACACTGCCTACTGCCCTCACTGACAAAGAAAGTCAATGGCAGCAAAAGAAGTGGATCTCCATGGCATTATGAACGCATTATTAGAATAACTATAAAAAGAGAAGTCAACAAAAGAACTCATGGAAGGCAGAGGATGAAAAACAAAACTACTGAAGATGAGAAGAAAGGTTCTATCTGTAAAAAAGTAGTTGAAAAATTATAAAAACTTTGATATGGGAAATAATTCAATTCAGATATTTTATTAATATTTAATAAGTATAAACTTTTTTACATTTTTTAGATTTTTCCTGCACATACTTACATGCATTTAATCCTCACAGCCCATACAGAGTGACATATGCATAAACCCATGAAGCTTATCACCACCATCAAAATACTGTATGTTTCCATCACTCATAAATGTGTAATTTCTTTCATACTCCCCTATTCAGGTAAACACGAATTTCTTTTATGTTACTATGGACTAGCATGCACTCTCTAGAGTTATATGTAAATGGAATTATAAAGTATGTATTTATTTTCTGTCTGGTTTCTTCCCCTAATCCTAATTATCTTAAAATTCATCCATTTTGGTCTTTGTATTAATAGTTCATTACATTTTGTCGCTCAGTCGTGTTACGTTGTAAGAATATACCACCACTTGTTTACCCATTCACATGTTGATAGACATGTGGATTGTTTCCAGTTTCTGGTTATTACAAATCAAGCTGCTATGAACATTTGTGTACAAGTCTTTGAGTAATTTTCTTGGGTAGAAACCTAGGAACTACACGGCTGGATCATCTGGTAGTTGCATGTCACTTTCAAAGATGCTGTCAAACTGTTTTCCAAAGTAGCAGTATCATTTCACAATCCCACCATCAGTATGCCGGTATTCAGTTCCTCCACATTCTTGCCCATACTCTTTGTATGGTCAGTTTTTAAATTTTAGCCATTTTTGCATGGTCTGTAGTGACTTCTCATTGTGGTTTTAATTTGCATTTGCTTAATAATTAATAAGTGAACATCTTTTTAGGTGATTTTTTGCCATTTGTAAATCTTCAAGTCTTTTGCCTACTTTTTATTGGGTTGGTCCTTTATTATCATTCTTACTATTATTGAGTTTTGAGAGTTCTTTACATATCCCAGATACATGTCCTTGTATCTTCTTGTATTATTCTTTCACGGATTGTGCTTTTGCTGGTATGTTCTATCTAGGATTTCTTTGCCTAACATTAGATACAAGATTATCCTCTCTATTTACATCTAGAATTATTATCATGTTAGATTTGTCACTTAGGTCTGTGATTCATTTTGAATTAACTTCTTTATATAATTGAATACAGTATGAACCAAAATATATGGGGTTTTGTGTATTTGTTTTTGCATATGGATATACACTTGTGCCAACATCAGTTGTAAAGGCTATCTTTTCTCCATGGAATTTTTTCATTTTTTCACCTTCCTCAAAAATTGATTGTCCACATATGTGTGGGTTTATTTCTGGACACTATTCTTTTCCATTGATCTGTTTGTCTATCTTTATGGCTGTGTGAAATTCTTTGATTTCTGTAGCTTTATAAATGGTTTTGAAACTAGGTATTATAGCATTAGTCTTCCAAATTTGTTCCCTTTTTTCAGTTGTTTTGGCTATTCTAAGTCTTTTGTATTCCTATATGAGTTTTAGAATCAGCTTCTCAGTTTCTACAAAAAAAAAAATCTTACTGGAATTTTGATTAGGATTCCATTTAATCTATTTATGAATTTAAGGAGAATTGACATTTTACCAATATTGAATGTTCTGACACATAAATAAGGTAGCGGGGTATATACTGCCATTTATTTAGGTCTTCTTTAATTTTTCTCAATACTTTGTAGTTTTCAGTAAATGAATCTTTCATGTCCTTTGTATTTTACTTTTTGAGGCTACTGTGAATGGCACTTTTTTATCAATTTATGATTATTTATTGCTAGTATAGAAATACAATAAATTATTGTTGACTACTGACCTTACTTTCTGCAACCTTGCTAAATTTATTAGTTATAGTCTTTTTTTTTTTTGTAGATTCCATTGGACTTCCTACACAGATAATAATAGCATCTGCTAATAAAGACAGTTTTATTTCTTTTCCAATTTGAATGTCTTTTTTTTTTTCTTGCTAATGCACTGGCCACAATTTTCCATACAGTATTGGATAGAATTGGTAGGAACAAACATTCTTTTTTTATTCTTGATCTTAGGAGAAAATAGTTTATCAGTGTAGGAAGTTCTCTTCTATTCCTAGTTTACTGATAGTTTTTACCAGGAATGGATGATGAATACTGTTAAGTTCATGTATTTATTTAGATGATTATATGGCTTTTTTGGTAGTTTTTAGTTTTTAATACAGTGATTACATTGACTGATTTTCAGGTATTAAGCAAATCCTGCATTCCTGCAATATACACCACTTCATTATTTTGTATTATTCTCTTTATATATTGTTAGATTCAATTTGCTAACACTTTGTTTAGAAATGTTGTGTCTATGTTAATAAAGGGTATGTTCTGTAATTTTCTTTCATTGGAATGCCTTTTTCTTGTATTTTTTTTCTTTCCTGTATTTGTATTAGAGTAATGATGACCTCAGTGAAAGGGTTAGGATATATTCGCTGCTTTTCAATTACATGGAAGAGTTTGTGTAAGTTTATATTTTTCTTAAGTATTAATGGAATTTATTATTGAAGCCATTTGGGCCTACAGTTTGCTTTGTTGGAAAAAAATTGCTATAAATTCTAATACTTTGATGGATATAGGGCTATTTAGTTTGTCTTCTTGAGTGAGCGTTAGTAGTTTGTGTCTGTCAAATAATCCATTCATTTCATCAAAGTTCTAAAATTTGTACGTATAAAGTTTTTCATAATATCTCCTTTCTATCCTTTTAATAGCTATTGGATACTCAGTGAAGTCAACCATTTCATTCCTGAGATTTCTGACTTCTCTGTTTTTTGCCTAATTAGTATGGCTAAAGTTTCATCAATTTTATTAGACTTCTCAGAAAACCAACTTTTATTGATTTTCTCCATTTTATTGTCTTTATTTCATTGATACCCACTTTGGTCTTTATTATTTCTTTTCTTACTTTGGGCTTAATTTGTTCTTCTTTTTCTAATGTCTTTTTTTGTGTGTGAGGCGGCGTCTGGCTCTGTCTCCCGGGCTGGAGTGCACTGGCGCGATCTCGGCTCACTGCAAGCTCCGCCTCCCGGGTTCACGCCATTCTCCTGCCTCAGCCTCCCGAGTAGCTGGGACTACAGGCGCCCGCCACCACGCCCGGTTAATTTTTTGTATTTTTAGTAGAGACGGATGTCACCATGTTAGCCAGGATGGTCTCGATTTCCTGACCTCGTGATCCGCCTGTTTCGGCCTCCCAAAGTGCTGGGATTACAGGCGTAAGCCACCACGCCCAGCCTCTAATATCTTAATATAGAAGCTGAGGTCATCAATTTGAGACCTTTCTTATTTTCTACAGGTGTTTACTGCCATTAATTTCTCATAAATACTACTTTCATGGCATTACACAAATTTCAATATTTTGTTTTCATTTTGATTCGGTTCAAGCTACTTACTAATTTCCACTTTGATTTCTTATTTGACCCATGGCTCATTTACAAATATGTTATTTGGTTTCCCATTCAACATTTGGAGATTTTGCAGATACCTTTTGCTCTTGATTTCTAATATCAATCCATTGTGATCAGAGAAATATTTTGCTGACATGAGCCATTTTAAATATATTAAAACTTGTGCTTTGGCTGATCATATGATTTTTCTTGGTAAATGTTTCATGTATAGTTGAGAAGAATGCATATTTTTCTGTTGTTGGGTAGAGTAATCTATATATGTCAAATCAGTTGGTTGATAGTTCTTTTTGTTTGGTTTGGTTTGGGGTGTTTTTGTTTTCGTTTTTGTTTTTGTTTTTGAGACGGAGTTTCACTCTTGTCACCCAGGCTGGAGTGCAATGGCGCGATCTCTGCTCACTGCAACCTCCACCTCCCAGGTTCAAGCAATTCTCCTGCCTCAGCATCCCAAGTAGCTGGGATTACAGGCGCCTGCCACCATGCCTGGCCAAATTTTTTTGGATTTTTAGTAGAGACAGAGTTTCACTATGTTGTCCAGGCTGCTCTCGAACTCCTGACCTCAGGTGACCCACCCACCTCGGCCTCCCAAAGTGCTTGGATTACAGGCGTGAGCCACTGCACCCAGTTTGTTTGGGTTTTTTGTTTGTTTGTTTGTTTTTGAGATTGTGTCTTACTCTGTCACCGAAGCTGAAGTGCAATGGTGTGATCGTAGCTCAGTGTAGCCTCAAACTCCTGAGCTCAAGGGATCTTCCTGCCTCAGCCTCCCAAGTGGCTGAGACTGCAGGTACACACAACCATGCCTGGCAAATTATTTATTTATTTATTTATTTATTATTTGTTTATTTATTTTTGTGGTTGTGCTATATTTCCTAGGCTGGTCTCAAACTCCTGAGCTCAAGCAATCCTCCCACTGGCACCTCCCAGAGTTCTAGGATTACAGGCATGAGCCACCCTGCCTGGCCAGTTGGTTGATGGTTTTGTTAAGTATACTATAGTCTTGCTAACTTTCTCTCTACTTGTTCTATAATTTACTGAGAAAAGAGTATTGAAATTTTTTACTGAGGATTTTTTTATTTCTCCTTGCAATTGTATCAGTTTTTGCTTCACGTATTTTGAAGCCCTGTTATTAGGAATATCAAAGTTTAAAATTCTTATATCCTTTTAATGAACTGACCTCTATATTTGTGATTAAAATTTTCACCAAGTTTGGAGAATTTCTTGCCATTATTTCTTCAAATAATTTTTTCTGCCCCTCCACTTCTCTCCTTCAGGAATTTGAATTACATGTTCCTGGGATTGCTTGAAGTTTCCCCACAACTCATTAATGCTTTTCACTATTTCAATTTTTTTCTTTCTTTTTTTCATGTTGGATAATTTTTATGACTATATCTTCAATTTCACTAATTTTTTTCTTCTGCAGTGTGTAATCCGCTGTTAATTCCATCCAATATATGTGTCACATCAGACATTTATTTTTCACCTGTAAAACTTTGAATTAGGTCTTTTTCTATGTCCCTGCTGAACATATTGAACATATGGAATATGGTTATAATGATTGTTTTAATGCCATTTTTGCTATTTATAACATTTGTAGCAGTTCTTGGTCAGTTTCAATTTTCTACACATTCTCTTGATGCATCATGTCTTCCTACTTCTTTGCATGCCTTTTAATCTTCAATTTGATGAAAAACATTGTGAATTTTTTCTCCTTTGGTGCTTTATTCCGGGATGCAATTAGTTTACACTGACATAATTTAAGCTTTCTTTCCTGCCTTTCTGATTTTTTTGGAGAGCTGTTCAGTCTAGGGCTAATAATTTCCTACTTCTCAGACAGGACCTTCCTTGAATTATGAGTTTTTCCAGTCTGGCTGATGGAACTGTTCTCAATCCTGTGTGAGTGCCAGGTACTGTTCCCTCTAATCCTTTTGGATGGTTGCTTTCTCAGCCTTGAATAGTTTTTTCATCACGCACATATGTGCTGAATACTCAAGGGAGTCATCTTCAGCTCTCCAGGGATCTAACTCTGTGCAGCTGTCTTGTCTCCAGTACTCTGTCCTAAGAACGCTAGCCTCCTCAGTCTCCCCAGCCCCTCAGGTGCAACTCTTCAACTCAGGGAGTTTAATGAGCTTCCTTTGGATTCCCCCATCTTGTGTGGCAACCAGTGGGCCATAAACTGGGGAAATGATAAGATGATCTTTACTTTTTTCTTTCAAGGATCATTATTCTTCAATGCCTGAGGCCCAGTGTTTTGAAAACAGTTTTAATATATTGTCTGATTTTTTATTTTGTTTTGCCTTTTAAAATTTTATCAGGCAGGGGAGTGTTTTCAGTCCTTGTTACCATATCTTGGGCAAAAGAGGACGGTCTCTCCCACCTCTTATAAAACTAAAGGCACAAAGGAAAAATCAAACAGACAGTTAAAGAAAACAGAGAAGAACTGAAAAATGTTTTCTTCTATCTTGCTTTGGTGATGTTCAATAACTGATGCATTAGCTTCCCATTGCTGCTGTTACAAATTACCACAAATGTGGAGGCTTAAAACAACACGCATTGATTATTTATAGTTATGTAGGTCAGAAGTCTGACACAGGTCTCAGTGAGGCTATAATCAAGATGACAGCAGGGATGCATTCCTTCCCTGAGGCTTCAGGAGACAATCCACGTCCTCGCCTTTTCCAGCATCTACAGGCCACCCACATTTCTCAGTTTATGACCTCCTTGCTCCATCTTCCAAACCACCAACTTTGCATCTCTCTAACCATTTTTCTGTAGTCCTATCTCCCTCTGACCACAGCAGAGAAAGGTTTTCTGCTCTTAAGGAACTGTGTGATTCAATTATTTAAGTGTCCCCTTAGATAATCCAGAATACGATCCCCATCTCAGGATTTTAATCACATCTGCAAAGTTTTTTATTGCCTGGTAAGGTAACATATTCATAGGATCTGGAGATTCAGATGTGAATATCTTTAGGGGTCATTATTCTGCCCACCACAGTTGACATCTAGTGGCTTAAATTCTACTGTTGTTTACTTTTAAGCAATGAAAGTGACATTCACAAAAATCCTTTTAAAAACATTCATTCAAATATAAAGTTTTAAGAAAAGAGGTATGCCAGTTTTTTCATCCAGTTGATGAAAAAAATTAATTGGAGAGACTGCTTTCTCTATGCAACTCACTGGCAAGCCATTCTTCTTAGCTCAGGATCTTAGTTATTTCTCAGTTATCAAGACTAAAATAGTAAAGTCTAGCATGCAATGAGTTCTGTATGTTTCAGTGTTGTACCACGTGATTTTTAGCATTTGCTCCTAAGGGTCTTCTCTAATTGTTTTTTATGTTGGTTAGTAATGATTCTCAAACTAATTTTATAAGTAAAATACCAGTAACATAATAATATCCAATAGTTATCAAGCATTATTAATTCAAACTGTACATTTAACATTGTGATGTTTAGTTTTTTGTGTCAACTTGGGTGGGACACAGCGTGTCCAGATAGTGGGTCAAACGTTATTCTGGGTGTTTCTTTGAGGTTTTCTTTGGATGATATTAACATTTAAATGGGTGGACTTTTGAGTAAATCAGATTGCCCTCCATTAAGTCAGTGGGCCTCATCCAATCATCTGAAGGTCTAAATTAGAACAGCCTCCCCAGGTAAAAGAGAGTTCTACCTCTGTAGTGTTGGCACCTTCTGGTTCTATAACAAGGTGTCTACAGACTTCATTTACAACAGTGGCTTCTGGACTGGAACTGCAGCATCACTGTCCCTGGGTCTCCTGCCTGCAGCTGCTCCTGCAGATATGGGCTTGTCAGCCTCCATAATCATGTGGCCTGATTCCTCATAATAAATAATAAATATAACCTCTTTATTTATAAAGCTATTCATAAATATATATATTTTTCCTCTTTTATATATATATTCTTCCTCTTAATATATAGTTATATTACATATGATATATCTATGTATCCTATTGGTTGTATTTCTCTGGAGAGTCCTGTCTAATATAAACATGAACAGCTGCTTTGAGATATGAGATGGTTACTATCATCATCCCCATTTTTTATTAACAGAATTTTTAATTGTATAAATGTATGGGTGCAATGTGATGATTTTATAAGTGTATACAATGTGGAAGGATTAAATCAAGCTAATTAATGTGTCCTATTACCTCATTTATCATGTTTTTGTGGTGAGACATTTGAAATTTACTTTCTTAGTTATTTTGAAACATACAATACATGATCATCGAGTACAGTCACCCTAGTATGCAAAACTTATTTGCCTTGTCTAACTGAATACCGTCTAACTGAATACCCTCTAACTGAGATACCCTAGTATCTCAAAACATATTGGTCTTGTCTAACTGAAACTTTGTACCTATTACCTTTATTTTACAAATGAAAAACTAAAGCAGAGAGAAGGTAATCTCCCCAGTGTTTTAGGGAGAATATGAGTAAAGGTAGGATTGAAGCCAGGAAAGCCTGACTCCAGGTATACACCCTTGATCCCTACTTTATATTGCATTTTAAACTCCTGAAAGACAGGGACTATGCCTCAATATTGTTTAACCCTTCAAAGAATCTGGCACAGACCCAGCATATAGGCATGTAACACCTGGTTAACCAATGAATATTAATTCTTCTCACATCTTTATTAACCCATTTAGATAGACTCCATCCTCCAAAGACTCCCCCTGATTTGACTGGGGGGAGGTGAAAATGGAAGAGGTAGTGGGCACATGTCACATAACTGCCATTACATATTGGTAAAATGGAGAAGTAGTGTCATAGAGTTGGTATGAAAGCTATTAACCCACCCTGGGAGGCTTCCTTATAGCTCCCTGATGTTTGTAATTGTTTGCCCTATAAACACACACATACATATATACCCAAATTCAGAATACTAGGCATGATTTATATCTTCTAACATTCAAATAATTAAACATTTTTTTCACCAAAAGACTAAAAACCAGAAGATCTTGCCATTTGAACAAATTGTTGATTGTGAGCTGTTGTGAAAATCTTCTATATAGAAGGGAAAATAAAGACTCTTTTCCTAACATTGAGAATGCTGAGCTCAAGGCCACAATGCTGAGATTTCTCACAACTCTATCTCCCTCAATTTAGGAAGGAAAGTACCTGAGCTCTTTTTCTATTACCTGAGCTCATTTCTATTAACAGAATGTGGTTTTGGTCCATCATCCAAGACAAAATGACTTATAAGAAGTTTTCTGCTTGTATTAGTTCCTTAGGGCTGCCATAACAAATCACCACAAACTGGGTGCCTTAAAACAGCAGAAATGTATTCCCTTACATTTGGGGGTTGAAGTCTGAAATCAAGGCATCAACAGGATTGGTTTCTTCTGAGAGCTCTGAGGGAATATCTGCTCCTCTCTCCTAGCTTCTGGTGATGGCCACCAATGCTTGGCATTCGTTGGCTTGCAGATGCATCATTTTAATCTCTGATTCCATCTTCTCCATGTTTTCCTCTGTGTGTGCATCTGTGTCCAAATTTCCCTCTTTTTATAAGGATGCCAGTCACATTGGATTAATGTCCACACTCATCTTCACTTGACTAAATGTACACAGATCCCTTTTCTAAATAGGATCATATTCACAGGTGGTGGAGGTTAAATTTCAGTGTATCTTTTTTGGAGGGAATGAAATTCATCCCAAGACACTACCCTCTCCCCTCATACACGCACCTGTTGAAGAACTTATTAGTTATGTTAAGAATCATTGAAGCAAAGATTCTCTTTAGACCTCATTATCTGTATACTTTATAGAATTCTGTGTTTCAGTTTTCCTCTGAAGACCATCATTTCAGGCATAAAGGTCTTGACAGAAATCAAGAAAAATGTTCAGATCAAGCATTGGCCATAAAATATGAAATTTAGAATCCTTTATTCCTCAATACCATTTACACCTTATTCACCAACCATGTAAAGCTCATACAGTATTCCTTTTTCTGTCATACTATCTTGTTGAATCCATGTTCCCCTTCATCTGATTCATCAGTCACTTAATCAGCAGCTATTTTATGGCCTTCTATGTGCTCAACACCTTACTAAGAGCTATGAGGCCACCAAATATGCAATAAATATGATATCAAAAGAAATCAACAAATTCTATCTTTTCATTATGTTCAGAGGAGGAAACTAAGACCCAGAGAGGTTAGTTTTTTCTCTACTTAGTGGCAGAGCCAGATAATCCTAAGTATTAATTGTACCTAACCCAGTTTTATTTCTTAATTCACTATGACATGGTGATGCCTGCATAACTCACAAAAATATATATGGTATAGTATCATCTCAGTTTTAGCTCTCCATCCCTAATTATTACCATTTTTTTTAATTTATTTTTTTATTATACTTTAAGTTTTAGGGTACATGTGCACATTGTGCAGGTTAGTTACATATGTATACATGTGCCATGCTGGTGCGCTGCACCCACTAACTCGTCATCTAGCATTAGGTATATCTCCCAATGCTATCCCTCCCCCCTCCCCCCACCCCACCACAGTCCCCAGAGTGTGATATTCCCCTTCCTGTGTCCATGTGATCTCATTGTTCAATTCCCACCTATGAGTGAGAATATGCGGTGTTTGGTTTTTTGTTCTTGCGATAGTTTACTGAGAATGATGATTTCCAATTTCATCCATGTCCCTACAAAGGACATGAACTCATCATTTTTTATGGCTGCATAGTATTCCATGGTGTATATGTGCCACATTTTCTTAATCCAGTCTATCATTGTTGGACATTTGGGTTGGTTCCAAGTCTTTGCTATTGTGAATAATGCCGCAATAAACATACGTGTGCATGTGTCTTTATAGCAGCATGATTTATAGTCCTTTGGGTATATACCCAGTAATGGGATGGCTGGGTCAAATGGTATTTCTAGTTCTAGATCCCTGAGGAATGGCCACACTGACTTCCACAATGGTTGAACTAGTTTACAGTCCCACCAACAGTGTAAAAGTGTTCCTATTTCTCCACATCCTCTCCAGCACCTGTTGTTTCCTGACTTTTTAATGATTGCCATTCTAACTGGTGTGAGATGGTATCTCATTGTGGTTTTGATTTGCATTTCTCTGATGGCCAGTGATGATGAGCATTTTTTCCTGTGTTTTTTGGCTGCATAAATGTCTTCTTTTGAGAAGTGTCTGTTCATGTCCTTTGCCCACTTTTTCATGGGGTTGTTTGTTTTTTTCTTGTAAATTTGTTTGAGTTCATTGTAGATTCTGGATATTAGCCCTTTGTCAGATGAGTACGTTGCGAAAATTTTCTCCCATTTTGTAGGTTGCCTGTACACTCTGATGGTAGTTTCTTTTGCTGTGCAGAAGCTCTTTAGTTTAATTAGATCCCATTTGTCAATTTTGTCTTTTGTTGCCATTGCTTTTGGTGTTTTGGACATGAAGTCCTTGCCCATGCGTATGTCCTGAATGGTAATGCTGAGGTTTTCTTCTAGGGTTTTTATGGTTTTAGGTCTAACGTTTAAATCTTTAATCCATCTTGAATTGATTTTTTTATAAGGTGTAAGGAAGGGATCCAGTTTCAGCTTTCTATATATGGCTAGCCAGTTTTCCCAGCACCATTTATTAAATAGGGAATCCTTTCCCCATTGCTTGTTTTTCTCAGGTTTGTCAAAGATCAGATAGTTGTAGATATGCGGCGTTATTTCTGAGGGCTCTGTTCTGTTCCATTGATCTATATCTCTGTTTTGGTAGCAGTACCATGCTGTTTTGGTTACTGTAGCCTTGTAGTATAGTTTGAAATCAGGTAGTGTGATGCCTCCAGCTTTGTTCTTTTGGCTTAGGATTGACTTGGCGATGCGAGCTCTTTTTTGGTTCCATATGAACTTTAAAGTAGTTTTTTCCAATTCTGTGAAGAAAGTCATTGGTAGCTTGATGGGGATGGCACTGAATCTGTAAATTACCTTGGGCAGTATGGCCATTTTCATGATATTGATTCTTCCTACCCATGAGCATGGAATGTTCTTCCATTTGTTTGTATCCTCTTTTATTTCCTTGAGCAGTGGTTTGTAGTTCTCCTTGAAGAGGTCCTTCACATCCCTTGTAAGTTGGATTCCTAGGTATTTTATTCTCTCTGAAGCAATTGTGAATGGGAGTTCACTCATGATTTGGCTCTCTGTTTGTCTGTTTTTGGTGTATAAGAATGCTTGTGATTTTTGTACATTGATTTTGTATCCTGAGACTTTGCTGAAGTTGCTTATCAGCTTAAGGAGATTTTGGGCTGAGACTATGGGGTTTTCTAGATATACAATCATGTCATCTGCAAACAGGGACAATATGACTTCCTCTTTTCCTAATTGAATACCCTTTATTTCCTTCTCCTGCCTAATTGCCCTGGCCAGAACTTCCAACACTATGTTGAATAGGAGTGGTGAGAGAGGGCATCCCTGTCTTGTGCCAGTTTTCAAAGGGAATGCTTCCAGTTTTTGCCCATTCAGTATGATATTGGCTGTGGGTTTGTCATAGACAGCTCTTATTATTTTGAGATACGTCCCATCACTACCTAATTTATTGAGAGTTTTTAGCATGAAGGGTTGTTGAATGTTGTCAAAGGCTTTTTCTGCATCTATTGAGATAATCATGTGGTTTTTGTCTTTGGCTCTGTTTATATGCTGGATTACATTTATTGATTTGCGTATATTGAACCAGCCTTGCATCCCAGGGATGAAGCCCACTTGATCATGGTGGATAAGCTTTTTGATGTGCTGCTGGATTCGGTTTGCCAGTATTTTATTGAGGATTTTTGCATCAATGTTCATCAAGGATATTGGTCTAAAATTCTCTTTTTTTGTTGTGTCTCTGCCCGGCTTTGGTATCAGAATGATGCTGGCCTCATAAAATGAGTTAGGGAGGATTCCCTCTTTTTCTATTGATTGGAATAGTTTCAGAAGGAATGGTACCAGTTCCTCCTTATACCTCTGGTAGAATTCGGCTGTGAATCCATCTGGTCCTGGACTCTTTTTGGTTGGTAAACTA
Organism: Homo sapiens; assembly: GCF_000001405.40. Classification (NCBI taxonomy): domain Eukaryota; kingdom Metazoa; phylum Chordata; class Mammalia; order Primates; family Hominidae; genus Homo; species Homo sapiens. The sequence goes on from NC_000004.12 coordinate 158,086,897, forward strand.
TTGATTATTGCCACAATTTCAGCTCCTGTTATTGGTCTATTCAGAGATTCAACTTCTTCCTGGTTTAGTCTTGGGAGAGTGTATGTGTCGAGGAATTCATCCATTTCTTCTAGATTTTCTAGTTTATTTGCGTAGAGGTGTTTGTAGTATTCCCTGATGGTAGTTTGTATTTCTGTGGGATCGGTGGTGATATCCCCTTTATCATTTTTTATTGTGTCTATTTGATTCTTCTCTCTTTTTTTCTTTATTAGTCTTGCTAGCAGTGTATCAATTTTGTTGATCCTTTCAAAAAACCAGCTCCTGGATTCATTGATTTTTTGAAGGGTTTTTTGTGTCTCTATTTCCTTCAGTTCTGCTCTGATTTTAGTTATTTCTTGCCTTCTGCTAGCTTTTGAATGTGTTTGCTCTTGCTTTTCTAGTTCTTTTAATTGTGATGTTAGGGTGTCAATTTTGGATCTTTCCTGCTTTCTCTTGTGGGCATTTAGTGCTATAAATTTCCCTCTACACACTGCTTTGAATGCATCCCAGAGATTCTGGTATGTTGTGTCTTTGTTCTCATTGGTTTCAAAGAACATCTTTATTTCCGCCTTCATTTTGTTATGTACCCAGTAGTCATTCAGGAGCAGGTTGTTCAGTTTCCATGTAGTTGAGCGGCTTTGAGTGAGATTCTTAATCCTGAGTTCTAGTTTGATTGCACTGTGCTCTGAGAGATAGTTTGTTATAATTTCTGTTCTTTTACATTTGCTGAGGAGAGCTTTACTTCCAAGTATGTGGTCAATTTTGGAATAGGTGTGGTGTGGTGCTGAAAAAAATGTATATTCTGTTGATTTGGGGTGGAAAGTTCTGTAGATGTCTATTAGGTCCACTTGGTGCAGAGCTGAGTTCAATTCCTGGGTATCCTTGTTGACTTTCTGTCTCGTTGATCTGTCTAATGTTGACAGTGGGGTGTTAAAGTCTCCCATTATTAATGTGTGGGAGTCTAAGTCTCTTTGTAGGTCACTCAGGACTTGCTTTATGAATCTGGGTGCTCTTGTATTGGGTGCATATATATTTAGGATAGTTAGTTCTTCTTGTTGAATTGATCCCTTTACCATTATGTAATGGCCTTCTTTGTCTCCTTTGATCTTTGTTGGTTTAAAGTCTGTTTTATCAGAGACTAGGATTGCAACCCCTGCCTTTTTTTGTTTTCCATTTGCTTGGTAGATCTTCCTCCATCCTTTTATTTTGAGCCTATGTGTGTCTCTGCATGTGAGATGGGTTTCCTGAATACAGCAAACTGATGGGTCTTGACTCTTTATCCAATTTGCCAGTCTGTGTCTTTTAATTGGAGAATTTAGTCCATTTACATTTAAAGTTAATATTGTTATATGTGAATTTGATCCTGTCATTATGATGTTAGCTGGTGATTTTGCTCGTTAGTTGATGCAGTTTCTTCCTAGTGTCGATGGTCTTTACATTTTGGCATGATTTTGCAGCGGCTGGTACTGGTTGTTCCTTTCCATGTTTAGCACTTCCTTCAGGAGCTCTTTTAGGGCAGGCCTGGTGGTGACAAAATCTCTCAGCATTTGCTTGTCTGTAAAGTATTTTATTTCTCCTTCACTTATGAAGCTTAGTTTGGCTGGATATGAAGTTCTGGGTTGAAAATTCTTTTCTTTAAGAATGTTGAATATTGGCCCCCACTCTCTTCTGGCTTGTAGGGTTTCTGCTGAGAGATCCGCTGTTAGTCTGATGGGCTTCCCTTTGAGGGTAACCCGACCTTTCTCTCTGGCTGCCCTTAACATTTTTTCCTTCATTTCAACTTTGGTGAATCTGACAATTATGTGTCTTGGAGTTGCTCTTCTCGAGGAGTATCTTTGTGGCGTTCTCTGTATTTCCTGAATCTGAACATTGGCCTGCCTTGCTAGATTGGGGAAGTTCTCCTGGATAATATCCTGCAGGGTGTTTTCCAACTTGGTTCCATTCTCCCCATCACTTTCAGGTACACCAATCAGACGTAGATTTGGTCTTTTCACATAGTCCCATATTTCTTGGAGGCTTTGCTCATTTCTTTTTATTCTTTTTTCTCTAAACTTCCCTTCTCGCTTCATTTCATTCATTTCATCTTCCATTGCTGATACCCTTTCTTCCAGTTGATCGCATCGGCTCCTGAGGCTTCTGCATTCTTCACGTAGTTCTCGAGCCTTGGTTTTCAGCTCCATCAGCTCCTTTAAGCACTTCTCTGTATTGATTAGTCTAGTTATACATTCTTCTAAATTTTTTTCAAAGTTTTCAACTTCTTTGCCTTTGGTTTGAATGTCCTCCCATAGCTCAGAGTAATTTGATCATCTGAAGCCTTCTTCTCTCAGCTCATCAAAGTCATTCTCCATCCAGCTTTGTTCCGTTGCTGGTGAGGAACTGCGTTCCTTTGGAGGAGGAGAGGCACTCTGCGTTTTAGAGTTTCCAGTTTTTCTGTTCTGTTTTTTCCCCATCTTTGTGGTTTTATCTACTTTTGGTCTTTGATGATGGTGATGTACAGATGGGTTTTCAGTGTGGATGTCCTTTCTGTTTGTTAGTTTTCCTTCTAACAGACAGGACCCTCAGCTGCAGGTCTGTTGGAATAACCTGCCGTGTGAGGTGTCAGTGTGCCCCTGCTGGGGGGTGCCTCCCAGTTACACTGCTCGGGGATCAGGGGTCAGGGACCCACTTGAGGAGGCAGTCTGCCCGTTCTCAGATCTCCAGCTGCATGCTGGGAGAACCACTGCTCTCTTCAAAGCTGTCAGACAGGGACATTTAAGTCTGCAGAGGTTACTGCTGTCTTTTTGTTTGTCTGTGCCCTGCCCCCAGAGGTGGAGCCTACAGAGGCAGGCAGGCCTCCTTGAGCTGTGGTGGGCTCCACCCAGTTCGAGCTTCCTGGCTGCTTTGTTTACCTAAGCAAGCCTGGGCAATGGCGGGCGCCCCTCCCCCAGCCTCGCTGCCACCTTGCAGTTTGATCTCAGACTGCTGTGCTAGCAATCAGCGAGATTCTGTGGGCGTAGGACCCTCTGAGCCAGGTGTGGGATATAATCTCGTGGTGCGCCGTTTTTTAAGCTGTTCTGAAAAGCGCAATATTCGGGTGGGAGTGACCCGATTTTCCAGGTGCGTCCGTCACCCCTTTCTTTGACTCAGAAAGGGAACTCCCTGACCCCTTGTGCTTCCCAAGTGAGGCAATGCCTAGCCCTGCTTCGGCTCGCGCACGGTGCGTGCACCCACTGGCCTGCGCCCACTGTCTGGCACTCCCTAGTGAGATGAACCCGGTACCTCAGATGGAAATGCAGAAATCACCCGTCTTCTGCGTCACTCACGCTGGGAGCTGTAGACCGGAGCTGTTCCTATTCGGCCATCTTGGCTCAAACTCTCCATCCCTAATTATAGCTAACTTCAAGGAGAGGGCTTCCAATATTTTTCTCCATGTGAGGAATTCTCCCCTGTTCTTGTCACTTTGAGGAACCAGAAGTACATTATAATATGTCAACTTGGCAAATGTTTGCAGTTATTGCTCTTTACTCTACATAATAAATAAAATTATAAGTGAAAGTAAAAACCTCCTCTAGGCTGTGTGCAGCAGCTTAACCATCTCAAATTTAGCTTTCTTTGGACAACTCTCCTAGTTTTCAGCATTCCAATTTGTGCAAATAAGTACTGAAGGGTTTGCTTGGGCAGCTGCCAATGCCTAGCTCTGAATATAAAAAAGATAGCTACACATAGAACAATCATATTCTTAATCAAATAATGATTTATGCCCTTGTAACTGGGCAATAAAAATTCAGATGGACTTTTTTGTAAGTTACACCTTTTTCACTGCAATTCACTCATCCTTTCTCCAATTCCCATTTTCTATACAATCAATCTTAAGCACTATTGCAGCTTTATACTTGTAGAAATGAATTTTTAAAAAGAACATAACTGATTTTGCCTCAATCTGTTTTTTTAAAGATCAAAGAGGAAACATTCAAAGGATGCAAGTATCTTTGCATCATTAAATACATTCATTGTTTAAGCGAGGTATCCGCAGTCAATGAAAAGGAAGGATTGAGGAACTATCCAGGGGAAGATAAAATGTAGTCAAACTAAAGGTAAAGCAATCCAGTTAAACATTTTTTAACTTAGTTACAAAGCCAAATATTCCTTAAGGATATTGCTAAACATTAATTCTGATAAGAATTAGATCAATACATTTGAATAATATAATCAATCTACATAAAGTAGCATGAAGCCCACAAATCATATCTTTAACCAAAAATAGTGGTAACATTTTTTTCTTGGAAATAGCCACATAATTTTATTTGCACTCTATATAAGCTTTCCAGAGATACATTATAACATAACATTCAAATTAAGAGCTCTGAAGTTAGGTCCTGGATTCAAGGCCACGCATTGCAATTTACTAGTCGAATGACTTTGGACAAATTAATTAACCTTTCTAAACCTTTCCTAATTTTCTTGTCTATAGAAGAGAAATTATAAATAGTACCCACCTCACGGGTGCATTTGTGCCAACGTAAGGGGGTAATGCATGTAAACTATTTGGTGTATTGAGTACTCCATAGATCTTTGCTAATACCTGCTTGAAAAAGCTCTGCTGAAGAAGTTATTTAGAGCATAAAATAATGGAAAATGAAAAATAATGGAAGGAAATGCAATAAAATGTTAACAGTGGTTAACATCAAAGGAGTACAATTATGAGTGATTCTTTTCCTTTTTTTTCACTTTCCAAAAACTTTTAAATGCAACTGTATTGTATTTATCACAGAACAACACTTTATGAAAGAAAACTCAGGGCTAATACATTATTAAGTTCTTGCAAAAGTCATTGTAGTCTTTGACATTGAAAGTAATGACAAAGACCACAATTACTTTTGCACCAAATGGATACAATGGAAAACTTAAGTTACTGTTAATATTTTCTCTGTGTATGGAAACCTCCAGTCGCTAGAAACTAGCACTCATCCCCTTCACACATACCTCTTATTCCCAAATTAGGATTTTTCCAAGTCTAAGTCCCACAGGGCACATGCACAGAACTCACTGTATGACATTGATTCAACCAGTTCAATGAAAAGAATTCTGTTTCAAAGCATCCCTAAATGTAGAAACTCGTGTTCTGTAGAATTCAAACAAATAAAATTGATTCATTTGTGTAAGATATGGTTTGGTGTTAATCTGTCAAAATGTTGGATATGCTTCAAAATTTTTCTTATGATATTTTGTCCTAATGTGAGTTTACTAAAATTAACTGGTATAGTTTGAATATTTTATTCAGGAATTGGGAAAAATAGATATTTGTTTAATAGTTGCAATGATTTTTTTGACTATCAAGATTTTTCATGTCAAGTTCAGTATCATGGAATCCACATGGCTAACTAAAAAGGATGCCATGATTTTAGGTGGGGGAAATGTCACTTATTTATTTCTTTTTGTGTGATTGTTTGTTTGTTTGAGTCAGAGTCTCACTCTGTCATCCAGACTGAAGTGAAGTGGCGAGATCTCAGCTCTGCCCCCTGGGTTCGAGGGACTCTTCTGCCTCAGCCTCTCAAGTAGCTGGGATTACAGGTGCCTGCCATCACACTCGGCTAATTTTTTTGTATTTTTAACAGAGACAGGGTTGCACCATGTTGGCCAGGCTGGTCTCAAACTCCTGACCTCAAGTGATCCGCCTGCATCGGCTTCCCAAAGTGCTGGAATTATAAGTGTGAGCCACTGTACCCAGCCAAATGTCACTTATTTCTTAACAATAAGAAATTCAGAAATGATTTAAAGTAGCTTATATAGATACATTCAGTACAAAAACTATGTCCACATAAGGGAAACTTCTTTGATAACCCAGTTGGGTTATCAAATTAACCTACAATTAGTTAATTGGTTTATGAAGAACTCATTTTAAGAGTATGCAAAATCCATTCATAATCACCATGTTAAAGCCAGTTAAGATTTTTATTCTATATAAATTTTAAGACAACATTTTGTGGAAAAGGCAAAAAATGTTTATAAAGAGGTCGGTAAGAAGCTTTTCATAAAATTTCCTAATGAAGTTACAAAAGATGAGAAGTTGGCAATGATAACTAAAATTTAATCTGGGTTAATTTTATTTTTTTCCTAGAAGCATTTCTAACAAAGCATCTCATGACTTCACTGGAATTGAAAAGTATAAAATAACTGTATTTGGTTTGCATAACCCTCTCTGGAGATGCGTGGGCAGGGAGGACACAAAGCACAATAGTGAGCACACCTGTGTCCCCTAACAACATTTCACAGGTGATATCAGGTCAAAATAAGCATCAGAGATGTCAGGAAGTAAAAAAATAAATCATGAAAGAAATAGCCTGCTGGGACTTCTTATCCCCTGTGCCAACCTCCTTCAATCTTTCAGAATCTGTATGGGAAAGAGGGGTGGCCATAGACACTTCTTAAAAATGGGAAGTGGAGATTTAAGCATTGGCTGCCCATAATGTTGACTTTTTTTCTTCTGAAAATATGGGCCAAGTCCTTACCTATCTTCCTGAAACATGTCACACCCAATAGTACCCACATCAGTACAAAATACGGATAACCCTGAAGGCCGATGTACTTAAAAGATGCATTAAAATTAAGAACTATGAAAAAATAAGCTGCTGCTTACCTCCCACGAAGATCTGTGTTACTATGCTAAATGAGAAATGTTGTTTTGGCCATCATTCTGAAACTTTTTTTTTTGAGACGGAGTTTCACTCTTGTTGTCCAGGCTGGACTGGAGTGCAATGGCACGACCTCGGCTCACCGCAACCTCCGCCTCCCGGGTTCAAGCAATTATCCTGCCTCAGCCTCCCGAGTAGCTGGGATTACAGGCATGCGTCACCACGCCCGGCTAATTTTGTATTTTTAGTAGAGACGGGGTTTCTCCATGTTGGTCAGGCTGGTCTCCAACTCCTGACCTCAGGTGATCCGCCCACCTTGGCCTCCCAAAGTGCTGGGATTGCAGGCATGAGCCACCGCGCCAGGCCCATTCTGAAACTTTCACGAGATCAAACGCAGACACCTGAGTTAAGGAAAGTGAGATGTGAGACAGGTAGAGATTTTGTGCCCGTTCGAGAAGCAAATGTATAATTTATGAACATCTTTCATCTCCACAAATGGTGAACATATTTTTTATTATTTTTTAACTGCAAAATATTCTCATTCTCATGAATTTGTTTAAGAGTCATTTACTTGCAAAATGTTGAGAAACCTGTGTTCTGTTCTTGGCAAATAACCTTGGCATTAGCAACTGCAGAAGCAGATGCTTGTCCACACTGTTATCCAGAAAGAAAAAAAAAACACTCCAAGGTCAGAACTAGCTGAAAAAACTACAGCAAACCACAGATGAAGAAAAATACAGAAAATGAATGATGAACAAGAAGGGTGGGAACCAGTGATTCTGCCTGAATTCCATTGAATTTAGTGGTGTGTATTACTTAGAGGAAGAAAGCAAGTAGCACCCACAAGCATTCATTATGATTAGCCTTTATCATGATAGTCTCACCTTGAATTGTAAAATTTTATTACACAGCTTTGTAATTAGGCTAAAGTCATCACACTAATGCCAGCTTTATGAAATATTGCAGAAGTTCTTCCTATTATTCATTGAGATGAAATAATTTTTTGAAGTGTGATTAAATCCAAGCTCCAATCAGAAAAGCAGATTACTCACCCTGATGATCAAGCAACAATAAAAATTTGTCCAATGTCAAAGAGCTGGAAACAAATAGGACACATTTACTGTTATAAAAGAAATCTCTGAAAATTTTAATGTTTGTTTCATCTGCACAAAACACACATCAAAAGAAATGCTACACAAATGCTGCACTTGTACAAATTTGTTTCGGTGTTTCTTCTTTCTACCTGTGTCAGAGGCATTGGAACTGGACTGGCTCAAGGTTGAACAGGGGCTGGATAAAATGAGGCTGAGACCTGCTGGGCTGCATTCCCAGGGGGTGAGGCATTCTTAGTCACAGGATGAGAAAGCAAGATACAGGTCACAAAGACCCTACTGATAAAAGAGAATGCAGCAAAGAAGCTGGCCAAAACCAAGAGAGCAATGAAAGTGACCTGTGGTAATCCTCACTGCTCATTCTATGCTAATTATAATGCATCAACAGGCTAAAAGACTCTCCCACCAGCCCATGACAGTTTACAAATACCATGGCAATGTCTGGATGTTACCCTAGATGATCTAGAAACATGGGAGGAACCCTCAGTTGGGGGAGCTCCCCACCCCTTTCTTAGAAAACTCATGAATAATCCACCCCTTGTTTAATATATAATCAAGAAATAACAACAAGTATACAGAGCAGCAGCCCATGCCGCTGTTCTGTCTATGGAGTAGCCATTCTTTTATTCCTTCACTTTCTTAATAAACTTGCTTTCACCTTACTCTGTGGACCTACTCTGAATTCTTTATTGTGCAAGACCCAAGAACCCTCTTCTTGGGGTCTGGATCAGGACCCCTTTCCAGTAACACCTAGATTTATAGAGTAGGCTAATCGTTGGCAAAGGAAAAAAATGAACATAATGTAAAGGTTATTCAGGATCAAAGCTAACATCTACCAAGTGAATAATTTGCTCTAATTGGAATGAATTCTGTGGAAGCATTTGGAAATGTAATGGTCTGTAAAAATAGTAAATAAATGCTTCCTGACCAACTATTGCAGGTGATTGAACAGTGATTTGATTTCGGTGCTTAGTAGTGCTTACTTCTGCCTATCTGACATTGCTTATGTCAACTTCGTTACGAATATCCAAGTTGATTTCCAGGTTTCAGATTCAATCTCTGTGCTTGGAGGTGGATTACAGAAAAGCATACATGGGGACCCAGTGAACATGTCAATTAGCCTGAAAGGAAGCACAATTTTTATTCCCTCCTATCAAGTTCAGGCAGGCAAATATCCTGACAGAGATTTAAGAGTTCCAGGAGGTCGCTTCTATCACTGGTCTCCCAGGCAAGGAAAGATGCTAGTTTTCACAGCTAACTAAAATGCTCTGAAAGCTGACCTTGGGCTGTTTCTTTTTCTTTTTTTTTTTTTTTAATTATACATTGAGTTCTAGGGTACATGTGCAGAACATGCAGGTTTGTTACATATGTATACATGTGCCATGTTGGTGTGCTGCACCCATTAACTCGTCGTTTACATTAGATATATTTCCTAATGCTATCCCTCCCCACTTCCCCCACCCCATGACAGGCCCCAGTGTGTGATGTTCCCCTTCCTGTGTCCAAGTGTTCTCATTGTTCAATTCCCACCTATGAGTGAGAACATGCAGTGTTTGGTTTTTTGTCCTTGCGATAGTTTTCTAATAATGATGGTTTCCAGCTTCATCCATGTCCCTACAAAGGACATGAACTCATCCTTTTTTATGGCTACATAGAATTCCATGGTGTATATGTGCCACATTTTCTTAATCCAGTCTATCATTGATGGACATTTGGGTTGGTTCTGGGCTGTTTCTTAACCTCTCCTCCAGCAGAATGGGATTGGAGGGTGCTACCAGCACACAGGCCCAGGAGCAGAGGTGGGAGATGGCTATTGCTTCACTTCTTCACTTACCCAGACTGAAATGAAAGCTCATTTTCTTCAGTTTGGATGATTGGAGATATTTTAAAAAAAATGAATGGCAATAAAATCTTCAACAAGGGGGCATTTCATAAAGTAAAATTTTGGATTCAAATTTTACTAATATTTTGGCTGTAGATTACACACAGTTCGTGCAATAGCTATTCCCTAATTACTATACTTTTTTTTTTTTTTTTTTTTTGAGACGGAGTCTCGCTCTGTCGCCCAGGCTGGAGTGCAGTGGCGCGATCTCGGCTCACTGCAAGCTCCGCCTCCCGGGTTCACGCCATTCTCCTGCCTCAGCCTCCCGAGTAGCTGGCGCCCGCCACCACGCCCGGCTAATTTTTTGTATTTTCAGTAGAAACGGGGTTTCACCGTGTTAGCCAGGATGGTCTCGATCTCCTGACCTCGTGATCCGCCCTCCTCGGCCTCCCAAAGTGCTGGGATTACAGGCGTGAGCCACCGCGCCCGGCCTTACTGTACTTTTATTAGGGAGCCACTTGATACTTTAATTCTACTTTTCACATACCACCTAGTGTGTTCAAGATGCTCGACTTCTTAAGGGCAGATTTTATTTTATTCATCCATGTCGCCTCCACAGCATCTGTTTAGCACCGTGCCATAAACAAATGCTTGTTGCTGCTCTCAGGTCTCAGCACCACATCTCACTGATATTTCCTCACCTCTTGTGATGTAGAAATCAGATCCTATATTCCTCGGGTGTATTAGTTTATTCCATTAGTTTATTCCAGGATTTATTTATTTTCTTCCAGTCCCCATTTCCATCCATTTTCTCCAGTCCTATTTTTTTTTTCCTTTGGTCAGTCCTACTGCCTAATGATTAGACAGGTGACAGAAAACATGCAAGTATGGAAGATCATCAATAAATATGCATCATTTGATTGACTGAAAGTCATCAGAGGAGGCAGAACAAGAAAAGTCAAGGACGGTATGACAGAAACAAAAAACTATATAGAACATAAGACAAAGTGGTACCTTAGGGATGTCTGATCATCCTCTAAACACAGAACAAGAACTCCCTATATAAAATACAATAATCTAAAATTTACCATACAATTTGGTCTTTGTGTTCTGTGTGTCAGAGGCCTACCATCATCTGTGATATTCACAGACTCTTGTCAGTGAAAAGAAAGAAGCCCCAGGCATTCTGTTGGGAGCTTCACTAAAATATCCCCACCAACACGAGGTGCTTTCTCATTAAAGTCTCAGGAGTTTCTGTTTTTAAGGCCAGAAATCTTTTTTAAAGAATTTTTTTTTAATTTACCTCTTCTCTTGACCAAATAAGGATATTCTTCCACAGAATAAACTGGAATATTGGCACGTTAGTCTCTTTGACAAATTCATGAATCCTTGAGAATTAAGAAGGTTAATGTAATTAAGTTAACCCCAAGTTAAGAAAGTTCATTAGGAAAATTATAAATCCATATTGTTTATATTTTCATTGTTAAATATGGCTCTTTATAATAATAAAATTCTGCACTATGGTGATAGGTATCACATAAAAATGCATAACTTATCTAATGGATCATTCCGTAAAATATAATAGGAGATGAATTCAAGGCACTCTTGGCTTTCTCATTGGTTTGGTCACACATCATGCAAACAAGTATTTACAGTGTTAATTATTCTCCCTTGTCATGAATAGATCTTCCTCTAGGGCTGAGATAGGGAAAGATGCAGGGAAAAGGATATGGAGCATTGAAAATTACTGTAAAAACCATCATTCTGAGCAAACTATCACAAGGACAGAAAACCAAACACCGCATAATTCTCACTCATAGGTGGGAATTGAACAATGAGAACAACTGGACACAGGGTGGGGAACATGACACACAGGGGCCTGTCGTGGGGTGGGGGGAGTGGAGAGGGATAGCATTAGGAGATATACCTAATGTAAATGACGAGTTAATGGGTGCAGCACACCAACATGGCACATGTATACATATGTAACAAACCTGCACGTTGTATACATGTACCCTAGAACTTAAAGTATAATGAAAAAAAAAGAAAATTACTGTAAAAATATTAGATTTTTCAAGTTAAGTGAATTTTAAAGTTAATTTCTTATCGTCTTAAACCACATTTCAGTATATAAAGTCATGTGGCACATAAGGACATTTCGCCAACACCAGACCACATATAACAATGGTGGTCCCGTAAGATTAAAATACCACATTTTTACTATGTTAAGCTCACTAATGAATAGTCATAGTCAATTCTCAGTCCTCAGACACAGCTTCCTCTGCTACTTTTTTTTACTTTTTCCACTTGTCTCATTGGCTACTTTTTTTTTTTTTCAGACAGGGTCTCACTGGTGCAATGACAGCTTACTGCATCCTTGACCTCCCAGGCTCAAGCAACCCTCCCACTCCAGCCTCCTGAGTAGCTGGAACTACAAGCACATATCACCATGCCAGGCTAATTTTTTTCTATTTTTTGTGCAGACAGGGTCTCACTGTCCTGCCCAGGCTGGAGTGCAGTGGTACAATGACAGCTCACTGCACTCTTGACCTCCCAGGCTCAAGCAACCCTCCCACTCCAGCCTCCTGAGTAGCTGGAACTACAAGCGCATATCACCATGCCAGGTTAATTTTTTTCTATTTTTTGTACAGATGGGGTCTCACTGTCTTGCCTAGGCTTGTCTCAAACACCTGAGCTCAAGTGATCCTCCTGCCTCAGTCTCCCAAAGTGCTGAGATTACAGGCATGAGACATTATGCCTGGCCAGCTACTCTTTTTCAGACTCCTCCATGACTAATAAACACCCCAAACTTAAAATGCCCGGAAGTAAACTTCCTCCCCCAACCCCTACCCCTACAATACTTGCCTAACCTGTGCTATTTTCTGTCTTGGTCGTTGTTGATGCTTCTGTTTCTCTGAGACCAACATACAGTCTGTTAATTCCATCTTCAAAATGTGTCAGGCATCTGACCACTTATGTTTACTGTCACTGCTCTCACTGTGATCCAAACCACCGTCATCATTCACCTGGATCACCAAAACCGCTTCCTACCTGGCCTCCCTGCTTCTGCTCTTGTTCCCTACAGTGTATTCAACAGACATCAACCAAAGTGATCCTATTGAAAAAGAAGTTAGGTCCAGTCACCTCCTTGTTCAAAATCCATCAGAGTAAAAGCCCAAATCCTTACAAGGGCACATAAGTCCCCACATGGCCCGGTCCTTTGTCACTTCTCTGACACCATCCTTTGCAACTCTCACCGTGGCTCCCTTTACTGCAGCCATGCTGACCTTTTGTTTTTTCCAGAACAAAGCAGTGCCCCTCAGGACATTTGCAGTGGATGTTCCCTTCGTTTGGAATGCTCTTCCCCCAAATGCATGTGTAGTTCACTTCCTCACTGCTTTCCAGCATTTCCTAAATGTTCACCTTCTCACTGAGGTCTTCCAGAATCACCCAACTTACAATTAAATCCCCCGGCTGTAGCACTGCTGATCTTTCACTTCCTCACGTTGTTTTATTTTTTTTCTCATTCCACTTATGACCAGTTAACATTCTGTGTTACTATTTGTTCAGTTTATCATCTGCCTTTCCCCACAACAGTGTAAGCTTTAGGCACATTTATAAGCTGTTATTTGTAAATTAGGCACTCATTAAATATATTTAATTAATAAGTAATTAATGTGCAACAGGAACACAGTATTTTTCCACAAAAGGCTGAAAAGAGTACTCTTAAATGTCCCTGATCTCTCTATATATTTGTTCTTCTTTCTTGTCACCAATTTTTCCCTTGCCTCAATTTTTCTCTCCCAGTGAGTGTCTGACAGGACATGCATCTTCAAGGCTTAGAAACCGCTGATCTAAAGCCCAGCGTCAGATCCACTTCACCCATCTCACAAGAGATTCGGTCTCTTCTCAAGTGTCCTCAGAAGCAGAGAATTTATGTACAGCTCTATTGTGAAAGGGTTTATAAAATTAACATGAAATTAGGATTGCTATAACTTCCAAACAACAGTTCTGTTTTTGTTTTTGAGGAAAGCTTTGAATAATTCTTTACCCTCTTCCACATGAAATCTCTTCAAGTATTAGAACAGAAAAAATATATTCCTTTTGATTCCAAAGTCTTCAAAGTAGCATCCATTCCTCATATTAATTGAATGATTTAAAATTTTAGAACATAAAATTTAATCTAGAGTAATTAGATCTCCCAATAAGATACAACTATAGAATTAGAAGAGGTGGAAGCTGTACTAACATGCAACATGAACAAAATAAAGCCTGCAGAAGTTGGGCGGACTTGTCCAAAGTCATCCACAAATGGTCATGTTGGCATCAGTTTCAGGTAAAGTGAATTTCCCTAACCCCCACCCCAAGCAGTGTTCTCTCCACTACACCGTATTTCCTCTCACTTGATTACTTTAACCAAAGTTATTCTATTTTGTCAGTATAGCTAGTGGATTATAATAAAGACTGCTGTTTTTCTAGAAATATCTAAACCATCCTCTGAGAAGGCCAAGGTAATCCATCCATGGACGCAGCATTGCCCCTCCCTTATTCTGAGGTATTGCTGAAATTCTTTCCATAAGCAGAAAGCTCAACTGATTAGAATTCTTCCGAGATTCAAGATCCAAACTAAAGTTATGAATAAAAATGCAGTATTATTCAAAGAAGAAGGCAGATAGCAAACTCCTGAGCTAAATAAATTTTTTTAAGGTTCAGGTTTTAATATTAGCACAGTTAAAAACTACACACATTTTCAGGAAAAATAAAAGTTACTGAGATATTGTCTTTAAATATACAAAATCTAAAGCTAAATAAACACTCATAAAGAAAAACCTGCAGAATCCAGGGACAAAAAGCTTAGAGGTAAAGAAATAATAAATAAACGAAGAACACATTTAAATCAAATACTTATGAAGAGAATTTGATACCAATACTTAGTATCAAATACCAAGTACTTTATAATCAAATACCTATGAAGTCTCACCAATATCCTGTGCATTCTCAGGATCTTAAATCTGAGCAAGAACCAAAGCTTTTCTTGAGTAGAAGAGATTCGCCAGAGGGAAGCAATCAATAGAGGATAGGTGATGTGGAAGATGCAGGAGTGCGGAAAATGCCTGCCTGAGGGGAGGATCCCGCTTCTATTCTTTTTCAGAATTAACATTTATAGCACTTTCTCTATGCTGGTGGCTGTGTTCTAGGCAATTTAAATACATTATCCTATTTAATCCTCACAACAGTCCAGTCAGCTAGGTATTGCTATTTTTATTCTCACTTTACAGATGAAGAACTTAGGGTTCAGTAGTTTGGCAACTTGTCCAAAGATACCAGGCAAGGAAGTGGCCTAACTGGGATTCAAACTCAGAACTTGTCTAGCCTCAGTATTGGATTCTTCACCACTATGCTTCATTGTCTCTTGGTAAATTACTAAACAATTAAAACATCCACCTTCCCAATCATTTCCTAAGGAAACACTGAACCTCCAAGTTTCCCAGTCACCCCTCAGGGACTAGATTCCCAGGCCTACTGCTCACTAGCTTTGTGAAATTGAGCAATGTCCTTAACCTCTCTGGGCACCATTTTCTTCATCTGTAAAATATCGTAATAACATCTCACAGAGTTATTATAAAAATTAATTGCATTAATATATGGGGGAGCGTAGCCTCCCAGTTAAGAACACTGGCTCTGGAGTCTGACACTTGTTTGAATCCAACTCTGCTTTCTATATTTGTTGTGATCTTAGGGGAGCTGCCTATTTTTCTCAGGCTTAGTCACCTTGCCCATGCATCAGAGACAATAATAGCACTTTCCTCACAGGTGGATATAAGGCTTAAAAGAGAAAATCTTTGCAAAGTATCTGGCACACAGAAAGTGCTCAATAAACCTGGCAACTACAAAGATTAGTTTTTATTAATATGAGTAAATAAAACATGGTTTACTAGGCAGGTGATAAAATAGAAATGTGCAACCTAAAAAAAAAATGACAGTATGAAATTAACATTATACCAAGGGCAATAATATTTATAATAAGATGACTAAAATTGATTTAATTAAAAGCAAGGAATCTCAAATTGAACTGCAAAAGCAAATTTAGAGATTTGCTACTTATGGAGATATATCTAAAGTCAGATGATACAGAAATATTAAAAATAATAATGTTGACAATAAAATATATGTGTCATGAGTAGGAGAGCATAGAAAAAGAATATAAAATAATGTCTATGTGAACTAAATTGGTGGTAATATTACTAAAGTGAAAAACATTAAAAATAAATCAGTCTATGGTCAGAAACAAAATAAAATTTTAAAAGTCATTGGGAATTCTAAAAATGATTTTAAGAGATAACATTAACAGTTACATATAAAATTTTCTAAGATTCAGATAATATATCAATTTCAACTACTCATGCAATATTTACCAAATATAATAGCATGCAAAGAAAATAAAAAATACTATAAAGACCACATTTGATTTTTTTTCAGTTCTGATGCAGGGCAGGCGAGCCCCAAAATTGGGGCGTAGCCTGGGAGGATTCTTGACTTCGCCCAGAAAAGAATGCAAGGAGGAGCCAGTGGTGTTGGACAGCAATTTTTATTGAGAGGGCAGTGCACAGCAGCAGCAGAGGTCCTGCTCCTTATGGAGCAGGGTTACCCCACAGGCAGTGTGCTAAGTGTAGCACTCAGAGGCAGTTCTGCAGTTGTATTTATACCAACTTTTAATTATGTGCAAATTAAGGGGCAGATTATGCAGAAATTTCTAGAAAAGGGCTGGTAACTTCTAGGTTGTCAGGTCGTTGTCATGGAAAGGGGCAGTAACTCCTGGATGTTGCCATGGCAATAGTAAACTGACATGACATTAGCAGGTGTGTCTTATGAAAAGGTGTTTCTATCCTGTCCCTGTTTTAGCTCAATTTAGTCCAGTGTCCAAGCCCCTCCTCTAGAGTCACATTCCACCTTCTACCTCAGTTCTATAAATCTAAAAAATTGTTTTCTTCACTTAACAGAGTTAACACCTCATCAGTTTAATGGAATAAAAGCAAACTTAAAAATTAAGATAATCATGTTTCTTAACACTGAGTGAAATCTCTGGAGCCAAGGTTGAGTATCTTTGATTTGATCTGCGTTGTAATAGGGAGAGACAAAGGGTCCCAAGATCAAACTAACATATCAAGAAGCAGATTAGCTGTAATCCTCATGTTAGATATATTGGGCATGTGCCCTAGAGGTAAAAAATTTTCTTTAGGTAGTTTGAGTTTTTTTCTTTGTCCACTTGCCTGCAGTGAGTAGCAAAACTACATAGGAACAAATGTATTTACATATTAATTTCTAAAATATTTTCATATGCTTAATTTGCGTTCTGTAATTGCTAAAGTTCCTAAGGAATTGGTTTTAGACCCACTTCTCATCTGTCACTATTCTCTTTACTTAGAAAATTTCTCTTTTAAAGATATTCTTAGTGTTCTGCAGTGTTTCTTCACTGCACATATACTGAATTATTTATGTTGATTGAGATTTTGGTTTTTTCTTCAATTTGAGGATGTACACCTTTGATCAATTTTGAAAATTCATAGGCATTTTCTCTTCAATTACTGTCACTTCTCCCTTCATTCTATCCTATCTTTTTGGAATTCCTAACAGAGGTGTATTAGTAATTCTACTGCTTTCTTCATAAAGAGATTAACTTTAATCTCTCTTTAATAATAGCCATCCATTTGTCTATAATCTGTGATATTTTCTTGGCTCTATCTTCCAATTTCCTAAGTTTCTGCCTAGTAATAACCTACCAATTGATTTCCATTGTCTTTGTAATTTAACTTATTATAATTATTTCAAGAATTCTGTTTTTTCACTGTCTGTTGTTCTGTTACATGTTAATTTCTTACAACATTTTTATCATTTTCCATATTACCATTATAGTCTGCTTCAGATTATTTATTCATTCAAATAATTACAGTGATAATTTTCCTTTTTATTGTGTCCGTAATCTTTGGTTCGTGGCAAATGAATTGTTTACATGTTAATTTTTAATTATGTACTTCTTTCTGTGGGGCTTGCTTTTCTTGCTGGTGTTTTCCATACTTAGCTTGTAGTGAGAATGACCATCCAGAGAAATTTTACATTAATTCTATGCCTCCCAAGGGTATCCCAAGGGTCAACTTTTATATTACTCTCTCAGTTGGAGGGTTCTGACCTTCTCGGGTACTACAAATTTGTACTCCAAACCAAAATGACATAGGTTCATTTGATTGCTTAGAGACTTTTTCCTAGACACTAGACAAATATGAGCTTCCATATCAAATGCTGGGTCAATGGGTGGATATTTGATGCCCACCTTTCACTGAAGCTTCAATTTACTATGATCCGGACTTTACTGAAGGAGTTTTTCATAAAGAGCTCTGAATATTTGCCTTGGGAAGTCCATACATAGGTATTAAAATGCAAGCCCCATGGCTATTTCCAGGTGTAGTAGCACTCCACCTCCGTTACCAAAACTACCAAAGCATCCACTCCATGCTTACTGAGTTTCATTCCTTAAAAAAATATGTATATGCATACACACACACACACACACACACACGCACACACAGGGATATATATATATATCTCAAATGGTAGGTTATTACTAGGCAGAAACTTAGGAAACTGGAAGACAGAGCCAAGAAAATATCACAGATTATAGAGAAATGGATGGCTATTATTAAAGAGATCTTAAAGATAATCTTTTTATGAATATATCCTCTTTATATATATATATCCTACTGTGTGTATATATATATCTAATATATATAATGTAACATATGTAATATAATATATATATCCTAGAGTGTGTGTGTGTGTGTGTATAGATAGATATATATACTTTTTTTTAAGGAATGAAACTTAATAAGCATGGAGTGGATGCTTTGGTAGTCTTGGTAATGGAGATGGAGTGTTACTACACCTGGAAATAGCCATGGGGCTTGGATTTTAATACTTATGTATGGACTGTCCAAGGCAGATATTCAGAGCTTTTTATGAAAAACTCCTTCAATAAAGTCCGGATCATAGTAATTTGAAGCTTCAGTGAAAGGTGGGCATTAAATATCCACCCATTGACCCAGTATTTGACATGGAAGCTCATATTTGTCCAGTGTCTAGGAAAAAGTGTCTCAGCAGTCAAATGAACCTATGTCATTTTGGTTTGGAGTACAAATTTGCAGTACCTGAGAAGGTCAGAAATCTCTAGCTGAGGGAGTAATATAAAAGTTGACCCTTGGGATACCCTTGGGAAGTGTGGAAGAAATGCAAAAATTCTCTGGATGGTCATTCTCACTAATAGCTAGATATGGAAAACACCAGCAAAAAAAAACAAGCCCCACAGAAAGAAGTACATAATTAAAAATTAACATGTAAACAATTCATTTGCCATGAACCAAAGATTACAGACATATATATATGTATCTCCTTATTGTAGTGTGTGTGTGTGTGCGTGTGTATATATATGGAATATATATATATCTATGGAATATATATATATATCTATGGAATATATATATCTCTATGGAATATATATATATATGGAATATATATATATCTCTATGGAATATATATGGAATATATATATATCTCTATGGAATATATATATATATCTCTATGGAATAGAGATATATCTATGGAATAGAGATATATCTATGGAATAGATATATATCTATGGAATAGATGAGATATATCTATGGAATAGATGAGATATACCTATGGAATAGATGAGATATATCTATGGAATAGATATCTATAGATATATATCTATGGATAGATTTCTATAGATTATATCTATGGATAGATAAGTATAGATATATATATCTATGGATAGATATGTATAGATATATATCTATCTATGGATAGATATGTATAGATATATATATCTATGGATAGATATGTATAGATATATATATCTATGGATAGATATGTATAGATATATATATCTATGGATAGATATGTATAGATATATATATCTATGGATAGATATGTATAGATATATATATCTATGGATAGATATGTATAGATATATATATCTATGGATAGATATGTATAGATATATATATCTATGGATAGATATGTATAGATATATATATCTATGGATAGATATGTATAGATATATATATCTATGGATAGATATGTATAGATATATATATCTATGGATAGATATGTATAGATATATATATCTATGGATAGATATGTATAGATATATATATCTATGGATAGATATGTATAGATTTATATCTATGGATAGATATGTATAGATATATATCTATGGATAGATATGTATAGATATATATATATCTATGGATAGATATCTATAGATATCTATCCATAGATATATATCTATAGATAGATATCTATGGATAGATATGTATAGATAGATAGATATCTATGGATAGATATCTATAGATATATATATGGAATAGATAGATATCTATAGATATATATATGGAATAGATAGATATCTATAGATATATATATGGAATAGATAGATATCTATAGATATATATATGGAATAGATAGATATCTATAGATATATATATGGAATAGATAGATATCTATAGATATATATATGGAATAGATAGATATCTATAGATATATATGGAATAGATAGATATCTATAGATATATATATGGAATAGATAGATATCTATAGATATATATATGGAATAGATAGATATCTATAGATATATATATGGAATAGATAGATATCTATAGATATATATATGGAATAGATAGATATCTATAGATATATATATGGAATAGATAGATATCTATAGATATATATATGGAATAGATAGATATCTATAGATATATACATGGAATAGATAGATATCTAGGAATAGATATATGTGGAATAGATAGATATCTATGGAATAGATATATGTGGAATAGATAGATACCTATGGAATAGATATATGTGGAATAGATAGATATCTATGGAATGGAATAGATAGATATATATGGAATAGATAGATATATGTGGAATAGATAGATATCTATGGATAGATATCTATTCCATAGATAGATATCTGTGGTTAGATATCTATTCCATAGATAGATATCTGTGGATAGATATCTATTCCATAGATAGATATCTGTGGATAGATATCTATTCCATAGATAGATATCTGTGGATAGATATCTATTCCATAGATAGATATCTGTGGAATAGATATTTATTCCATAGATAGATATCTGTGGGATAGATATCTGTGGAATAGATATCTATTCCATAGATAGATATCTGTGGAATAGATATCTATCTATGGCATATATATATATCCTAATGCCTGGGGATTTTCTTTCTTTCCTATGCTCTCAGCATTAACTGTATAATCTTGTTATATTTTATCAATTATTTCAAAGATAGTGCAGGACTTTCTGTGTTTATTTGATATACCATTTTGATGTAACCAAAACCTCCTAAATGATTTCTTCCACTTTCATGAATTCTAAATTTCATCTATATTCCAACAACTTCCAAATTATATTTCTAACCCAGTGGTTCTCAGTTGGTGGTGGTGTTTATCCCAGTGGGTATTTGGCAGTGTCTGAAGATATTTTTGGTTGCCATAACATGAGTGGGCTACCTCTGGTTTCTAGTGGGTAGAGGCCAAGAATACTGCAAAACTTCATAAAATGCCCAGGAGAGTCCCCACCCAAAGACTTATCTTGGCTCAAAATGACAATAGTGCCAAAGTTGAGAGACTGCTTTTTTTTTTTTTTTTTTTTTTGAGACAGCGTCTGGCTCTGTCGCCCAAGCTGGAGTGCAGTGGCGCGATCTCGGCTCAGTGCAAGCTCCGCCTCCTGGGTTCACGCCATTCTCCTGCCTCAGCCTCCCGAGTAGCTGGGACTACAGGAGCCCGCCACCGCTCCCGGCTAATTTTTTGTATTTTTAGTAGAGACGGGGTTTCACTGTGTTAGCCAGGATGGTCTCGATCTCCTGACCTCATGATCCACCCGCCTCGGCCTCCCAAAGTGCTGGGATTACAGGCGTGAGCCACCGCGCCCGGCCGAGAGACTGCTTTTGAATCTCCATTTGAATGCATATTAACATATGTTAAACAGAGTCGTGTTTTTGTTTTTATTCACCAAACCTATTTCTCCCCTGACCTTTCCCAACACACTTAATGGCACCGTGATGAAGCTGATTGCTCAGGTCACAAACCTGGTAGTTTTTCTTGAAACCTTGATAGCCCATTCTAGTTGATTTTACCCCCTAATAATACCTCATTTTTTACCTCCACTACCTCTAGCATAGTCTACCATCTCTCACTAGGGCTACTGGATATGTTTCTAGTCTGTCTCCACTTTTTTCCGTCTTGCTTACCCCAGTTCATTTTCCACACAGACGTCAAGGAGATCTTCTCATTGCACGTCAAAAGAATCCAAATTCCTTAGCAGGGTCTTCAAGGGAGGCATTCATGATCTGGGCCCTGCTGATCTCTTTAACCACATTTTGTGGCTGTCATTCATTATGCTTTAGAAAAGTTAGCAACCATATTTTCTGGATGACACTGAACCTTCTTCCAGGTCCAGAATTTTTTGCATATTATTTCTTCTGCCTGTAATGCTCTTCCTCCACTTCAAGCTTAGATCTCAGTTTAAATATGCCTGCCTCTGGGAAGCTTTGTTGACCCCTCAACCTGTAACACATCTGATATGGTTTGAATCTGTGTCGCTACCCAAATCTCATGTCAAATTGTAATCCTTAATGTTGGAAGTGCAGCCTGGTGGGAGGTGATTGGATCATAGGGGCAGATTTCCCCCCAGTATTGTTCTTGCAATAGTGAGTGAGTTATCATGAGATCTGGCTGTTTAAAGGTATGTGGCATCTCCTTGCCCCCTCTTGCTCCTGCTCCCACCATGTAAGATGTGCCTGCTTCCCCTTTACCTTCCACCATGATTACAAGTTTCCTGATGCTTCTTCCCCAGCCATGCTTCCCATACAGCCTGTGGAACTATGAGCCAATTAAACCTCCTTTGCTTTTAAATTACCCAGTCTCTACTAACACAACATCCTTTCTGTTACCTTTTAGAATATTTATTGCAATTTTCAATTTGACTGTACATCTTCTATCCTAAATGTAAGCTTCAAAAAGTCAAGAACCATATCTGTTTTATTCACTACTTCTTATTGGGCCTGGAATATGTCAGGCATTCAGTAACAAACAACATTTGTTAAAGCAATTAGTTATCACCTACCAGAAATTTTAACAGGAGTGATCACTAGGCTAACATCAGCTGAAGAGGTTCTCTTAGTCTTGATTTCATAAGGACTTCAAGTTTAGATGCATGTGACTGAACACACACTAAAGAATAACCTATATATACAATTAAAAAATAGTTAACACATTGGATAATATAGAGAAATATGCCTATAATATTCATACATATGTTATAAGTGCATATATATAATTATATACATATTTATGCATATACATATGCTCATATATATTTGATGAATTTATGTATATTGAATATATACATATATGTATAACAATATATCTTATAAATGCATTAAATCCATAGATATTATATCATATAAATATACATTATAATTTGGTTCTAATATTCAAAAGTAATATTGGAATTGGTGAAACTTTTATGTAGCTGTGACATTGGAGACATCTTTCGTCCAGGTGCTTATCACATTTATTGTCCTCATTCTGAGTAATTTGCTGGTTTTTCTATGTTTCAGAAGGTCCTATATCCAATACCAAACTTCTTCAGAATAATCACTTTATGTCTTAGTCTCTTTCTTTTCTATTGTCCAACATTCAAGTTTTTTGCTCATTATCAGTATTTTTGTAACTTCATATTTTGCTACTCTTAACTGGAAACTAGGTGCTTCAAGTTTTTGGATTGTGATGGGGAAGTACATTAATAAAAACAAATCAACTACTGTGGAAGTGCATGTCTTGATAAATATAATTTATGGAGGTTTGCTTTTCAGTAATAACATCTTGTAAAATGGCTTTTGTCTTAACCACTTCTTTGGGAACAGCTTCTCCCTCTCACTTCTATGTTATGTCAGTGGAATAGATTTAATAGATTATCTTGGCTTTATAAGAAAGAACACAGCATCCTGCAAAAGCACCTCATTCCCTCAAAGAAAACTAGATTGAAGTCATGAATTTCCTATTACTTTGTGTGTCAAATTCTCAGATATCCCCTTGGCTTTAATGCTGCCTGATGTTCCTGATGAGATGGCAGCACAGAGAATCCCAGGATTATTAGAAAAAACTGTGCTTGCCTATAAAGAGAGACATTTATGTTTTTAACTCTCAATCTTTCCCAATCCTCAATATAAGCCAACTCTTATATAAGCCAACCAAATAGATATTGGGTTGTTGAATATATATTGGAGTGTTACTGCTATTTTTAAGGGTGTTGTCATCCCTACAACTGGTAACAAGAGTGCAAAAATAATATTTCAATCAAAGCAATGCTATCAAATTTTATGAAGTATCACTTTTTGGTCATGAAAATAAACTTTTTTATATGACTCTGAATGAAAGTAAGAATTCTTTTCACTACAGAGCTGATTTTATATGAGTTTAAATCTGTTCTTTGTTTTTTCTAATCTCTTGCTTTAAAACACACTAACTAATGAGTTGACCAAGCTCTACTGGCCATTATATCTACTTGCAAACTAGCAAATTCAGTTTTCAACATAACAACACAAAGTAAAATGAAGTGGAATGCTGTGATTTTAAGGGGGCTTTGCCCTCCTTTGTTCTGTGAACTTTGCCAGCTTTCACATCATAGCAGTCTCACAGCCCTTTGTTCAAACTCACAACATTGAATGTAAAGAATGGCTTTACATTGTCATTTTCTTACTGGAGAAATCCAAATGCATCAAGAAAAATGCTCACAAGGCTTGGAACAAAAAGAGGTATTTATTTTACATGTGCCCTAGTTCTGTGTAACTCAGCATCATGACAAATGCATTGGGATTGCAATTGAGAGTTGAAGTTCTCTTCACCTCCTGTGAATCATCAAGCCCAAACGTATGGCCCAACGTGATAACCCTTTTAAATATTAGGTACTGATACTGGGGAACATTGATGATTACCACCATCTCATACACTTGAATAAAGACAGACCTGAGAGAGATATTGCAGACTTAGGCTGTTTGCTCTATCAGATGTCTATTAGTCAATCTTTCCACTTACACACCTGGCTATGGTTTCTCTAATTTATCCCACTGTGGATAAGAAATACAAATTATTTCAGGGAAGCCAGTTTGACAGAGTTGAGAGAGCACTGGATGAACTTGGGAAGGTGGCGTGGCTCAGCGGTCATAAGCGTAAGTGGGGAAGTCCAGCCGATTTGGATCTGAATCCAAGGTAGTTTGGTCACTTCTTGGCAGTTTGATCTTGAATAAATTATTAGCTTCTTCATCTTTCCATTTTCTCATTTTTCTGATAGAGCTGTTGTGAAGAATAAAGTAGATATTATTTTTGAAGTGAATTGTGCCATGCCTCTCTAGCAGTAAGAACATGACACAAGTAGCTGTTATTAAGGTGGCACATCTGATACAAGTTTTTCTGTCCTCAACTCTCTAGACCTCACATGCAATCTTGTTCCCAATGTAAATGGAAAATTTATACCAGATAAGTTCAAATAAACTGACCAAGTTTCCAATTGTGTCATTTTCTCTATTATTTGCCCCTTGCTCTTTCAATGGATTTCAATGGCATCCAATACTTACATAAGAAACATTTAAAGAGTTGAAAGATAAGATAGGCAAGAGGTTTGTGGAGGTAGTCAGCAAGGGCGAGGCTATCATTTGCTTAGATAGTAGGAAAAAAGCTATGGATCTCTTTGAAAGTAACAATGCAGTGGAGGGAAGTGGGGAGGGCACTAAGGTGAGTGAGAAGGGCACATGAGAAGGGTCAGAATATCAAAGGTGCGTCTCTGCATTACAGCCAAGAGCAGGAGAGGGTCAGCATCAGTGAGAAAGGGAAAGATACACCAGAGACTTTACGCAAATGATATGGCTGGACATTGCAGAAAAGTTACCTCAATAACTAGTAATAACTAGTCAGAAACTAGTTATTACTAGTCAGAATAACCAGTCAGAAACTAGTTATTACTAGTCAGAATAACTAGTCAGAAAGTGCCTTGAAAAGGCTCCTAGAAAAAAATAAATTGAGGTAGCAATTTTGCAATACACTCAGAAACAAAGTGCAAAAAGAAGAAAAGAGGATTGCCAGTAATGGAAAAAAGAGATTGAGGATGTTGAAGGCCCTTGAAGGGGACTATTTTGCAACAAAGGAAAGCCAGCTCACAGAGAATGGCTTCTTGAACTTCCTCTCTGTTTCCCATTTCTCCTCCTCTTCAAAAAATGTCATCCATTTTATTCAGGACAGAACAATTTGCCCAATGTGCTATTTAAATATTGGTTTTAGAACATTTCCTTGATTTAAAAGTACACTACCAAGATTGGCAAAAATCCAAGCTATTTCTTTCTGTAGTCTTTGTCATGATTTATAGGGTAGGTTTTTTTCTACCAAGGATAAAATGGAAGAAGACCAGAATGTAAAATTGCACAAAATACACAATTACTGACCAAAAAAAAAAAAAAAAATACATTGACTAGAGCTATTACGAAGGGTATTTTATATTATACAAAAGATTCTGATTATCTTTTCAAAGATGTCTGAAAACTAATGTTTTTTTTTTTTAGTAGGAACATTTGAAGAACAGAAGGGGAAGACTAAGGGAATTCTATATAAAATAAATTTCTCTTATGTATGAATAGTATCTGGCTAATGTTCCTGATTCTGTTATACACACAGACATTAACTGTTACAGTTTAATGATTAAAGGCTTGAAGAAAGGAAGTTACTAGAGACAAATGCATTCAATTCTTGTTCCCTGAGCTATCCCACGACCTAAAGCAATGCCTGGCATATAGTTGGCACTCAGTAAATATTTGTTACATGAAGGAGTAAATAAAGCCCTAGAGAAATCAAATTAGCAAGTGAATTCTTTAATCATCGCCAGCTGAGCACTACTTGAGCCACGAAAATCCCAAAGTGTAAATGGAATCTCACGGTTTGGGGTAACTCAGCCTGAGTTGAGCCTCTTATCCTGGTCATCCTAGTAGCTTGGTGTATAGGCAACTGTGAAAATAAATCAGTCTGTTCATTATGAAAAGAGAAAAAGAAAACAATCTAACTCTTTATATGGATTGGCTGTTTTGTGTGTGTGTGTGTGTGTGTGTGTGTGTGTGTGTGTGTCTAAATTTTTCTCAATGATGTATCCTCAGGTGATCTTCTCTCTGGTTTAGATCAGCTCTTTAGAGAAGACTATTGGTGTGACTAAAGCTAAGAAAAGTATATCTAAAGCCTGAAGCGCCTGTTTTGCATAGTGTTTCTAGAACGTTTTTAAAGCTGTTTCCCTTAGCAACGATATTTTTCTTAGAATGGTTAGTAAATTACCTTTGAATCTTAAAATATGTAATGGTCCACAATTATGTACAAAAACACTTCAGAATTAGTCCCATCCTACTTCATTCCTTGATTATTTCATGCCTATGTAACTCCTAGAACTTTCTAAATTACTTCCCATGTCTTCCTTATTCCTTTCCACAACATACACACCAATCTACTCTAACAAATATCTTCATCACATGGCTGCCTTTTTAAAGAATTTATAATAACCTCTCAATAAAACAAAATAGGAAAAAGAGCAAAACATTATTTGTTGCAAATCACTGAAATAAATAAAGAGGATGAAACTATGGGAAAGAATGCTGCATTTAGCATAAAACTGGTAAAATGACTACTACCAAAAATAGAGCCTAGGAGAAATAGCAGCTATATATAGTAGCATTTACGCCAATTGGAGGAGAACCAAAACAACTATGCATATTTCCCAGGTAATAAGCAATGTGTAGCTTTTTTGTTTTTAATTGGGTTCTAAGATACCTAAGAAGGATCTTTTATTTGGTCTTTCAAAGACTGGAGATGGGAGGAAGGGGGTGCATATTTGTGGGGGTCTAGTTCTGCAGCATGGAAAAGCACAGGAGGAGGGCTGACTTAGTGTCTCTAAAGATACTCTGTCTCATTGTTCTGAGAACAAAGCCCTAACCTAGTATCTAGAGATGCTGTCTTATTATTGCGAGAACAAAGCCCTAACCTAGTACCTAGAGATACTCTGTCTTATTATTCTGAGAACAAAGCCCTAACCTAGATATGCTGCCTGGTAGGTAGGGAGGGAAGTCAGAAGACAAGAACAAAACAGTAACTGCTGCTGAGCACAGAAAATGCATAGTATATCCCACACAAAAGTACAGAGCAATACCTGTGCTCTAGAGCAGCATTGGTCAACAGACATTCTACAGTGATGGAAATCTGTATCTTGATGCTGATATGGTAATGCAGTATTCAATGTCAATTAATTTAAATTCAATTCCAAAAACTTTAATTTCTCTGAAAACCTAGATCAAAACAAATATGAAAAATTTATAGCAAACAAATCACTGAAAGATGAAAACTGAGCTGGAAAAGCAGAAAAGAGACTTGAAGATAATAAAGTAATTGGAAGAATTAAAACTAATTAGAAGCAGTAAGAAGTAGAATAGATATTGCTGAAATAGAATGAGGTATATAAAGAAAACACTTGAGGAAATAGTACATATAATAAAGAAAAAATAAAGAAAAGGAAGCAAAGAAGGAAAATAAAATTGATTTGAAAGCAGATTCCATACACACATCATAAGTTTTTCTTAACCTGAAAATAGAACAAACAAAACCAAAAATATGTTCAAATATATATTGTAAAATCTTCCTAAAATAAAGTAAAATGTAAATATGTCGATAGCATATTTTGTTTCAGGAAAATACAATACAGAATGACCAACTTTAAGATGAGTCCTGAGAACGTATTCCTCAAAGAATATATGAAGGAAAAATAAATCCAAAAAAAAAAGAAAAAAAATCAAGAAAGAATTCAATGAGCCTTAAAATTGGAAAGCAAATCACCTAAAAGTTAGAGGGAAAAAAAACAGAGTTGCCTCAGAAATCTTATCACAATGTTCAATGTCAGATGACAGTGCTAGAATATGTCTACAGACTTTCAAGGGAAAAAATAAGAACTCCAGATTTTATATCAGCCAGATCATTGTTTACATACATAAACATAACAGAGTGAGATTCACAAATGAACAAAGCTCAGTGAAGATGGAACTTATGAGTAGGTATGTAAAAATTGCTTGATAATGAAGCCAGTCAAAAATGAAATGAATGAAATAAAATAAAAACATCAGGAAGGAAGAAGTTGTAATTGATGGTGGGCATGAAATCCATTCAAATATAGAACTAATGCACCTGTGACAGAGTAGGAAACAGAAGGTAAATATTAAGGATAGTAACAATGTAAGAATGATGGTAAATTTTTTAAAAGTTAATTTGTGAATGGAGGAAGTAGGGGAAAAATCTAAGAGCACAAACTTTTTAATCTGTCATAGGAAGAATAATGATATACTTTCTAAAATTGATGAATAAACAAAGAAATTTCTTTAGAAATAAATTATAGATTTTCTGTTCATTGTAAGTATCAGAAGAATGATCCATTTAGATTAAGCATTAGCTAAAAGGTGAATTATAAAAGGATACTCAGTCATTTCACAGAAACCAAGAACTAGGAGGAAACTTTAAAGCAACTAACAAAGAAATCAAAAGCCACAAGATTCCTTTCACATCAGATCTTCCTTGGGTATCTGTTTCCATATTTCTTCTCTCTTTCTCTACCTACAATTAAGTTTCTCCAGCTCACATAGAAGAAATCATGGCTAAAATCACTGGAAGATTATACATTATTACTTTAGTCTTTGGTCCTGGTTTCTTTTCCTCATTTTCAGTTCTAATATTCTAAGGGACTTATAGGTTATAATGTTAAGTGAAATAAGCCAGGCACAGAAAGACAATATCACATGTTCTCACCATATGCAGGACTTAAAAGTTATTTCATGGAGGTAGAGAGTAGAATAATGATTACCAGAGCACTGGGAAGTATATGGCGGGGGTGGGGAATGGGAGGGATGAAGAGAGGTTGGCTAATGAGTACAAACATACAGTTAGATAGAAGGTGTAAGTTCTAATGTTTGATAGCAGGGTAAGGTGACTATATTTATCAATACACTTTTAATTTATTACATATTTCAAAATAGCTAGAGAGAAGATTTAAAATGTTTCCAACACAAAGGAATGATAAATGTTTCCAGCCATGCATATCTTAATAACTCTGATTTGATCATTACACATTGTGTGTATATATCAAAATATCATACATACCTCATAAATATGCACAATTATTATGTATCAATTTTTAAAAAGAAAAAATTTCACCATTATAATAAAATAAAATTCTGAGGGAAGTATTCAGATTGGCCCACTTAGGTCAGGTGTTCAATTTTGAACCAATGAATTATGACATGAAACAGAGCTGAAAAAGAAGATTGTGATTTGCCCAGCTTAAGTCATATGTACATCACAGGACCTATTCACTATGGCCTGGAATCCAGGGCAGACGTGAGATTAGGGTGGACTGGGGTGGAAGGTTCCCAAAAGTAAAAGGTTATTGGAAAAACAATAATAAGTTTAAGTTGTGCTGTCTCAGATATAATGAGAGGTGCCACGTGTAGCTTTCACCATACACTGCAGTTAACATTATTCACCAGATATTTCTAGTGTCTTTCCTTTTCCGGCTACTTTTGTCCAGTGAGTTGTGTGTGGAAGTGAAAGGCCCTTCAGAACTTTGTCCCGCTCAGGCACAGAGATGGAAGCATTCAGGCTGTTCCATCAGCCCGGGTTTCTGGGAAAAGGGAGCTTTGAGAAAGCCACGTGAAGCTCAGGAGGAAGAAATATCTTGGGCTCTGAAATAAATTGTTTAGGTGAAGAAGAAATGTTTGAGGTCATGGATATCTTAATAACCCTGATTTATTCATTACAAATACATTACATTGTATGTATGTATCAAAATATCACATGTACATCAATATGGAAAAGTATTATGCATCAATAAAAAGAAAAAAGGCTACCATTTTAATAAAATAGAATAAAATTCTACAAAGAGTAAAACTCTCCTGCCAATCTGTGATGGACATGTGCTATGAGAAATCTCCCTTTGTGTTTTAAGCCACTGAGATTTAATGGCATTTTGTTACCATAGCTTTACTTAACCTACCCTGACTGACACTGTGACTGCACTGCTCCATGGTGGCTGACTATATCATGGCTAAAACAATTCCACTCTAGTGCATTTTGCTATTCTTTCTCCTCTATTGCTGGTAGGGAAAAACCTACTTTCCATTTCTTTGTTCCTCTTTCAGAGGAGGCTCCCACAAGGTTCCTGAGGGGAATCAGCTTCTTTACAGTCCAGGTTATCTTCTTAAAGAATACAGATACTGAGTCCTGGGAC
Organism: Homo sapiens; assembly: GCF_000001405.40. NCBI lineage: Eukaryota > Metazoa > Chordata > Mammalia > Primates > Hominidae > Homo > Homo sapiens. Next base: position 158,117,912 of record NC_000004.12, read on the forward strand.
ACAGGATGGAAAACACAGATTTGCAAGCACTCTTATCTGCAACAACAACCCATTTTAAAATTTTCACCCTGATACTTAATTTATTATATGCTCCCAGATTTATTCTTCACCTCTACATTTTATTTCAGAGCTCAAGATGCTTCTTCCTTCTGACTCTCATGTGGCTTTGCTCAAGCATCCTTTGTTCCAAACCATCAGACCTCCTAGGGCTATTACCAATGTCATACAATGTGGCCATAAATTACAATACAAGGAATTTGACAGAGAAAATCTTCATAAATGAAATGTGAGAAAACCAAAAAATGGTGAAAGTGTTACCCTTTATAAAGGACTATCAATGGGCTAAAGCAGTGGTTCTCAACTGGGAAATGATTGTGCCTCCCAGAGACATTGTGCAATGTCTAGAGAATTCTTTGCTGTCACACCTATAGGGGCTGCTACTGGCATCTAATGGGTAGAGTCCAGGGATGCTACTGAACATCTTGCAATCCACAGGTCAGCTACCCGTGACAAAGAATTATCTGACTCAAAAGGTCCCCAGTTCTGGGATTTAGAAAACCCAGGCTAGCCAGAACTTCCAACACTATGTTGAATAGGAGTGGTGAGAGAGGGCATCCCTGTCTTGTACCAGTTTTCAAAGGGAATGCTTCCAGTTTTTGCCCATTCAGTATGATATTGGCTGTGGGTTTGTCACAGATAGCTCTTATTATTTTGAGATACGTCCCATCAATACCTAATTTATTGAGAGTTTTTAGCATGAAGGGTTGTTGAATTTTGTCAAAGGCCTTTTCTGCATCTATGGAGATAATCATGTGGTTTTTGTCATTGATTCTGTTTATATGCTGGATTACGTTGATTGATTTGCATATGTTGAACCAGGCTTGCATCCCAGGGATTAAGCCCACTTGATCATGGTGGATAAGTTTTTTGATGTGCTGCTGGATTTGGTTTGCCAGTATTTTATTGAGGATTTTTGCATCGATGTTCATCAGGGATATTGGTCTAAAATTCTCTTTTATGTGTGTGTGTGTCTCTGCCAGGCTTTGGTATCAGGATGATGCTGACCTCATAAAATGAGTTAGGGAGGATTCCCTCTTTTTCTATTGATTGAAATAGTATCAGAAGGAATGGTACCAGCTCCTCTTTGTACCTCTGGTAGAATTCGGCTGTGAATCCATCTGGTCCTGGACTTTTTTTGGTTGGTAAGCTATTAATTATTGCCTCAATTTCAGAGCCTGTTATTGGTCTATTCAGAGATTCAACTTCTTCCTGGTTTAGTCTTGGGGGGGTGTATGTGTCGAGGAATTTATCCATTTCTTCTAGATTTTCTAGTTTATTTGCGTAGAGGTGTTTATAGTATTCTCTGATGGTAGTTTGTATTTCTGTGGGATCGGTGGTGATATCCCCTTTATCATTTTTATTGCATCTATTTGATTCTTCTCTCTTTTCTTCTTTATTAGTCTTGCTAGCGGTCTATCAATTTATGCAGCCAAAAGACACATGAAAAAATGCTCATCATCACTGGCCATCAGAGAAACGCAAATCAAAACCACAATGAGATACCATCTCACAGCAGTTAGAATGGCGATCATTAAAAAGTCAGGAAACAACAGGTGCTGGAGAGGATGTGGAGAAATAGGAACATTTTTACACTGTTGGTGGTACTGTAAACTAGTTCAACCCTTGTGGAAGTCAGTATGGCGATTCCTCAGGGATCTAGAAGTAGAAATACCATTTGACCCAGCCATCCCATTACTGGGTATATACTGAAAGGATTATAAATCATGCTGCTATAAAGACACATGCACACGTATGTTTATTGCAGCACTATTCACAATAGCAAAGACTTGGAACCAAGTCAAATGTCCAACAATGATAGACTGGATTAAGAAAATGTGGCAATATATACCATGGAATACTATGCAGCCATAAAAAATGATGAGTTCACGTCCTTTGTAGGGACATGGATGAAGCTGGAAACCATCATTCTCAGCAAACTATCGCAAGGTCAAAAAACCAAACACCACATGTTCTCACTCATAGGTGGGAATTGAACAATGAGAACACATGGACACAGGAAGGGGAACATCACACACTGGGGCCTGTTGTGGGGCAGGGGGAGTGGGGAGGGATGGCATTTGGAGATATACCTAATGCTAAATGACGAGTTACTGGGTGCAGCACAACAACATGGCGCATGTATACATATGTAACTAACCTGCACGTTGTGCACATGTACCCTAAAACTTAAAGTATAATAAAATAAATAAAAAGAAAACCCAGGCTAAAGTCAGGTTTTAATTAGAAATTTGTCCTTAATTAGGAATTTGCTTCTCTGGATGCTGCCACATCCCTCCTCTCTAAACATAACATATTCTTTCTGTCTGAGATAAAACTTTTGGTATCACAAGCAACAAAGGAATACTAACAGCAATACTCAATAAGAACAGCAAATAGCATTGCCATAATAGCCACCAAAACTCCTGGGAAAGTCATAACTGTCATTTGTTACCTGATTAAAAGAGAAGAAAATTGACTCCCTCCTAGGAGGAGCTACAGATTATTTGCTCATTCTCTTTCAAAAGAACTGAATCTTGCAAGTTTAATAATAATGTATTCTCAGAAAGTTAGAGGGAATATCTGGATCATAGTTGTTTCTTTTTTCTTTTCTTTCCTTTTTATTATACTTTAAGTTGTGGGATACATGTGCAGAACGTGCAGGTTTGTTATACACGTGCCATGGGTTTGCTGCACCCATCAACCCGTCATCTACATTAGGTATTTCTCCTAATGCTATCCCTCCCCTAGCCCCAACCCCTCCACAGGCCCTGGTGTGTGATGTTCCCCTCCCTGTGTCCATGTGTTCTCATTGTTCAACTCCCACTTATGAGTGAGAACATGTGGTGTTTGGTTTTCTGTTCTTGTGTTAGTTTGCTGAGAATGATGGGGTTTTTTAATACTCTTGAGAGCCTGAAATGAGTGTACAGAACAAAATATCTTGTTCTTCTAAACAGAAGCAGAGCCAATAACATAGGGTACTTTATAAACCAAATAGCGTCTGGTGTCCTGAAGCTAAAGAAACTGTCGGCACTTCTTGCAGAATCGCAGCTGTTTCAGTCTTATTCAGTGACTTGTCCCACTCTCTGCAGTCCAGTTTGCCTTTCGAAATATAGCACAGCTGGCTATTCTGCAGCAATGATTAAAGCCACTGACAAGAGTTTTTTTTTTATTTGTTAGCTCTTTGTCTCAAAAGCTTTAGAAATCTTGACAAGTACTCTTACAAAATACAGATAACTTTCTTAAAAGAAGACACAGATTTCTTAATATACACATGACTGTGCATATTTTTATCAACAAACTAAATACACTTTGGAGTCATGAGGATAAAATGGTACCTTTCTAAGATGAAAAAAAATGTTGAACAAATTTAACCACATGCAATGCCGTTTTAAGAAAGGAATCCTGTGACTTCATTGGCTTACCATGTGCATTTTTAGGTTGCAAAACAGTCTGCCAGCAACCCTTCTTAGTCAGACCTTTCTTACAGCAAAGCCCTATCCCGGAGGACTACAGAGCTTAAAAATCGGTGAAGATGTCATATTTTGACATAAGACAGCTGTGTGTAAATTGGAAGTGGGGCAAAAGATGACAGGAGCATAGACACTTCAAACTCCTCTAACAGGCCAAAATAACAGTAAGAAATGGTTACAGTTCTTTGCATAAATGTCAAGGAAATAATTCCTTTAGGAAAAATTCATTCATTTGTTTAGGAAATTGTTTAATAAAAAGCAGGAGCATTATGGTGATGCCCAGAAAACCACTGGCAGTAAATCATTCAACATTGACTATATTTCTCCCATACTCCAAAACACAATTTTTTTATTATACTTTAAGTTCTGGGATACATGTGCAGAACGTGCAGGTTTGTTACATAGGTATACACGTGCCATGGTGGTTTGCTGCACCCATCAACCCGTCATCTACATTAGGTATTTCTCCTAATGCTATCCCTCCCCTAGCTCCAGACCACCCCCCAACAGACCACCCCCCAACAGACCCCGGTGTGTGATGTTCCCCTCCCTGTGTCCATGTGTTCTCATTGTTCAACTCCCACTTATGAGTGAGAACATGCAGTGTTTGGTTTTTTGTTTCTGTGCAAAACACAATTTTAAAAGGGACTATCTGAGATCTTTTGTATTTCACAGCAAATAAAACAGGTAACTGGTAATTTTTAATAAATTAAAGGTTGAAGTGAAAATAAACTCGAAGGTTTGTTTCTGTAGTTGATTAAGTAAATGGTAGTGAATTTGGAATTGATGGTATGGGCTGAAAATGTTTAAGAATTGGTAAAGTAAACTGTCTCTCAACTTTCATTGGTTGAATAAAGTATCTCATTAAATATTCTTTACCAAAACCTAAGTTTTCACCTTTGCATAAAAACAAGGCTTTTAAAATATATTAGGTGAAGATCTTCTGAATGCAAATAATATAATTTCCCATCTTCTTAAATACACTGGAAAGCAAGCTTTCTTAAGCTGGGAGACCACAGACCTGGGAGGGAAGAGCTCCATAAATGGGTATCTGCAGATCTGAGAGCCCCATGAAACTATATACAGAACTGTATGGACAGCTGAACTTTTAATCAGCTTCTCAAAGAGATCCAGATCTCATAAAAGGCTAAATACCACTGGTACAACACAGAACATAAATTAATGCATTTCTGATAAATCAGTATATTCATTAGGTTGCAAAACAGTGTTAATCTATTATTGTAACACGACACTGGAACATGATGATGTCTGCAGAACATATTGAGGTGATTAGATCATTTAGCCACAATGTGACTCTGAACTATCATTTCAAGCAGCAATCATTGACAATAAACTATAGATAGGCAAACTCTTACTGTGAGTACCAAATCCCCTCTCTAGTCTAATAAGAGTTCATTTCTGGACACTTCTCAAAAGAATTGTTTTCCTACGTTTTTGCTACTGAAGATATAACTTAAAGCCCAATTACAGGTCTTGATTGATGGTTAACATGTTAAAAATTTACTTATTAATTCATGTATCTGCATTGTTTAACAGAGCATAACACATAGTAAATTCTCGATCAACTGTGCAATGTAATCATCAAAAGTTTCATAATATAAGTAGCTTTCTTGTTTATTCTGCTCTCCAAATGTTCATAAAACAGTGCCCTAAAATTATTACTACATATGAATATGCCTGTAAAACCTTCAAGGTTTATAAAGTTGAGATTTCTTATTTTATCTTGGTAGATAATAAATCTCTGAGAATATCTTGGCTTTCCAACTTTCTAAGTCAATTTCAACATTGAAGATTCTAGGTCAACAGTTTGTATAGACTGGGGCAAGTCACTTTGCCTCACTAAGCCTCAGTTTCTCCATCGGGAGGATGAAGTTGTTGGACAAGATGCTGACTTCATGGTCCCATTTTATTATAAAATTGTGTTAGCCAAGTGCTGTGGCTCATGCCTGTAATTCCAGCACTTTGGGAGGCCAAGGCAGGCAGATCACCTGAGGTCAGGAGTACCAGACCAGCCTGGCCAACATGGTGAAACCCCATCTCTGCTAAAAATACAAAAACTAGCAGGGTATGGTGGCAGGCGCCTATAATCCCAGCTACTCAGGAGGCTGAGGCAGGAAAATCCCTTGAACCCAGAAGGCAGAGGCTGCAATGAGCTGAGATCTTGCCATGCACTCCAGCCTGGGTGACAGAGCAAGACTTCGTCTCAAAAAAAAAAAAAATTGTATAAGTTGTATTTTGAAAGTTTATTAAAGTAAAATTTTCCAAAATGTAAAATCATGACTCTCAAGGAAATAAAATTATATGGCTCTGTGGTCAAATGTTTATTAAAGCAAAATTTTCAAAAGATAAAAAACTGATTCGTATGAAAATGTTAAATGAATATAAAGATTTTATTCAAATAATCAATTAATGATGGAACCGGTGAGATGGTAAAAACCATTTAAAAGAGTATTTCAAAAGCTAAATGTTTATAGGCAATATTAGGATAAGATTGTTGGACTAGATTTAAAACTGGTTAATGCCCAATTATTAAGGTTATCTCTTCCACCAGAAGGAAATTATTTGTATCTCTATGGAACAAAAGTCTACAAGTCTCTCCCCTCCTGCATTGTTAAGTAGCCTATGTAATAGAAAATTAATCCCAGCATTGCACTGAAAAAACACACAAAACTCTCTTCTGGCTATTTCCACGTTTCATATAATTTTTCTGACAAGTCAATTCTTTCTTTTTTTCTTCCTTTTCAACATTTATTTTAGATTCAGGGGGTAAATGTGCTGGGTTCTTGCCTGGGCATACTGCGTGATGCTGAGGTTTGGGATATGAATGATCCTATCACCTAGGTGCTGAGCATAATACCCAAGAGTTAGTTTTTCAACACTTGTCCCCCTCTAGTAGTCCCAAGTGTCAATTTTTATCATCTTTATCTGACAAGTCAATTCTAGTTATCTTTCATGCATGAAAGTTCTTGATTATTGTTTATGATACTTAATTTTTTAAAAAAGGTCTTTATCATCTTTATTTGACCCATGTTCAATTTCCATATAATTTTCAGATGAATGCTCTAAATGTGTGCTTGTTCTGTGCTGACATAAACATAAGAATTTCATAAGACAGTGTGTAAATAAATCTACTTCTAGGTATTTTATTCGTTATGTATAAGGTAAAGTATATTTAATGGCACAGTAGAATAAACAGGCTATGATTACAAGTCCAAAGATTACAAATATAATGATGATATCAAATATATGCACACACAAACACAATCCAACAAAATTCTTGACTCTCTTTCTTTTTTCACCGCTAAAGGTAGCAAACATTCCTCTGTACCTAGCTCTGAAAACACATCTACAAAAGCAAATGAACTCATCTGCAAAATAAAAAGCACATATCTTTAATTTCTAATGTTTTATTATAGATTTTTAAGATACATATTTATTTTTATATTATTAGCTTAAAGAAAGTAAGTCACACAAGAATAAGCTTTTGCATGTCTGCTAAGGTAAATTATTATATTATAAGTTTGTTATGAAGTTATAAATAAAACACATATTGTGCTTATGTGAATAAAACCACAGCATAATCGGAGTGCATTTGAAATGCACAGAGTATTCTCATTGTTTCAATAAGACAAAAGAAGAACATTACCTATTAGAATTAAAAGCCTGGCCTTCGGCTATCCATTAGTCAAAAATAATTCATCATGAATTACTCATTGATTACAAAACAAAATTGTTAAAAAGCAAAGGTGACTAAAATAAACATGTTCCTGGGACTTTCATTTAATAAGCATTTTGGAATAACTGGAGGCAAATAAACAAAGTTAAACCCTCACGTGGGAAGACCAGGCTGCCCAACAGCATTGTAGCTTGAGACTCAAAGTTAAAGCCAGCTTCTAAAAAGCCTGTTAGTCCTACCATCAATATGATAAATTTGGATAAAGATGGTAAAAAAAAAAAAATGTTTTAAGCAGTAAAAATGCAAATATGCCACCTTGGTAAGACAGGATGTCAGGCAACTTGCCAAAAGAGTTATTTCAAGTCAGTGGCTCAAAGTAGGATTCCAGTCTCCAAACTTTTGTTAGGCTAATTTTCATTAAGAGGATGATTTATAAGAGAAGAAAAGGATCTTAAAAATCCCAGAGACAGTGAGTAAAAGTGGAGACTCAAAAGAGCCAAGGAGTACTATAAATCTGTAGAAGCAGAGGGAGACACTCGGGTCAATAGAGGGAAAATTGAAGAGGAAGATAATCCAAAGCTCAACTGTCCAGGGGGCGAGCACAGCCCATAAGGGTGCTAAAAGTAGTACATGAATGTGAGCCTAGAAAAGCTACAATTAGATTTTCAAATGATCTCTCTCTCCTTGGTCCATCTTCTCTTATACTTAAAACATTATTTTGACATTTTGTTCTACAATTGTATCAATTAGATCTATAGATTTTTTTTTTCAAATCTAGCCTCTATTGTAACGTTGTTAGTAGTTCTCTTTCACACAGATATTGAGTTAACCTTGACCAGAACAAAGAAAATGTGGTGTATTTCAGCAATAACAGACGTAACCGTGAAAAGACAGGAGAGAATGTATTATAAACATTCTCAAATTGTATTTTTAAACTTTCAGGAAATGAAAAGTCACAAATAGAACTTTTAAATAAGGAGTAGGATGTGTAAGGGCAGGAAGGTAATGGTAATCTATTCTGAATTTGAAACTCCATGTGAATATCTACCATATGTGATGATCTTGGATATTGGCAAAGGACATAAAGATGCAACACATGAACCTGATTTGTCCATGTCTTCCAATCTGATTTAAAAAGTGTTAGAAGGAGTTTGGAGATGATTATTTGAGGCTTAATATTGTCCAAATTTACTGTTTTAGTTCTAGTCATGAGGAAAATTGATCAGACGCAGGTTTTAACTTATTTTGCTCATATTACTCATGTTGAAATAAGCCAGATAATATATTGAAACACACTCAATATTTGAACCAATTCTCAATATCTGGGCAGTAACCATTAAATCAAATTAAATATAAGTACATAGAACAAATTTTAAGGAATTCACTATTATTAATAAAATATACATAAATTATATTACATTGTTGGTAAAAGTAACAAAATTTTTAAAGAGACATCCATTTTAAAATGATACTCTGTAAGTACATTTTCAGATAGGTAACTTCATACTTTAGAATTATTTAATTTCTCAGCCACTAGATACAAATTGGACCAAAATAGAGAGAGTAAAACTCTTTAACATATAAATTGTCAGATGTGAATGATTTCCATAGGGACAACAAAATAAATTTCTAAAAAGGAATGGAAAATATGATTCTTGTACTTAAATGACTGATTTTTTATAGACACAATAGAAAATATACTGGTGATTTTGCAAATAAACCAGCATTTCTGTTTAAATGTATGGTCAGCTCTGATGCTCTTGCAGGCTGTAAGCCTCAGTGTTCCAATGTAGAGTTGCCTCAGGGTAGTGTAGAGACTGCTCTATGTTAACAATCAGCAACAGAAAAACGTCAAGAATTGTTCCCATTAGTATTTGGTCAGAACAGTCAAAACGGCACAAAATATGGTTTATTAATGGAGTCAGTGTCTCTGGTTTGCAGTTTTCTATTAAACAGCATGACAAATGTTTTCAAAACTTAGCTAGAATAATAACTGAAATTTCTGTTGTCAGATGTTCAGACTGACACATAGCATGATGTTAGAGAAAAATATAAACAAATATTTCTCAAGTAGTTTGTTTTTCAAAACCTTTTTAAGTATGCATACAGTGCTAAGTCCCATTATAGCTACTTGGTTAAAGTCATTTATTTTACGTATTCATCTACACTGCCTCATTGCTAAACGGGCTTGAGGTTGATGTGCTTGATTTAAAAACAAAACCAAAAATGCATAAATATATCTAACACCCTAGCCAGAAGATTCTTTTGTCATTCATTCATAGGTAATACTTTGACCCCGTGTGCATTGATATAGGTGATAAGAATTTTGGCTCTGTGTTCTATTACATCGATAAGCTTTTCAATTCCTTGTCTACCTCCTTGACTTTCCCAATACACTTTATCAAGAAACAGAGACTGAAGAAGTTTCTGCCGTAAGTGCTGGCTCTTCAAAACAGAAACTGCAGAAGCTGGAAACCTGAAAAGATAAAATGATATTTCAATCTTAGTAATTGCTTGGGAATAGTACTCCTTACCCAACTGTCCTGCCTTTCATTAATCTGTCATAAATCACACTAACAAATGGTATCTTTGAGAACCAAAACATTTTTGTTACTGCCAAGATGACACTTCTCTTAATAATAATATACTAGAAGAAAGTGTTTCCAGTGAACTGAATATTCTACACCATTCAGAACATGACAGACTTCTTACTTAAGGTCATTCCGTACACTCAAACAAAGGCATGGAATTGGAAAGGATTCTATTAGATTGGCAGAAATACTTTTCTTAGTCTTAGGCTCATTTCACCTGTGGAAACCCCTTTAATCTGTCAAGTAGAACAGTATCCTCAGATGTGTCAAGGTGGGATTTTATGCAAGAAAATATGAGAGACAAATTGATAATGACAACTTCAATAAAGTATTCTGCCTGAATAGAAGTTACACAACTGAATTTATGTGAAATAATAAAAAATGTGTGTACTAAAATGAGATAAGATTCATTCAAAAACATCAAATTAAAGAAAGAATTGTCTCTGAGTCATATTATACTCCTGGAGCTCTGAGGATTTAGGATCATTTTATTTAGCTAGAGTGTTAAGATGTTTTCAAATAAATTCAGCAAAACTCAAGTTTCAGAGAAAAGTTTTAGTTCCACAATGAAAGTCTCTCTGGAAAACCTAAGACCAATTTAGAGGGGTCTTTGCTGAATTACCTTAAAAGAATGCATTGTGCTTGCTTTTCTTCGTTTAGAAAGCCAGGAGTCCAGCATATACATTATCTGAAGGACTTAGCAAAATTTCTAGATCAAAAACATAAGTAATATTTTGCTAAATCCCCAATTTGACATTTCTCAACTTTCACTAAAATGCTGATAAAAGCACAGTAAAAATATTGTTTTAAGAGTACATTTCTAATAAACTCAGTTATACCTCAAAAACTATAGTAAGAACATATATACTTGCTTAAAGAGTACACTTTGCCAGAAATTTCAGGCCTTCTAAGCACCTCTTCCAAATTTCAATGGAGCACAATGGAGATGGCACAGAGGGTGCCCGAAAGCCAAGGATCAGGTGCTCCAGCAGTTCTGATGCTGCAGAAAGAACAAAGGCCACGGCGCCGGACTTGCTTAATGTGTGTGAGGAAGTGCGGAATGAAAGAATGTTTATAAGATGCTCTGAGTTCCCTGAAGACATTACTATATAGTTTAGGGCCTCAACTTTAGGGGCTCTAGTATTAAGTAGCATTTTTGCTTTATGAAGTGTTAATAATCCATGAATTGTCAATTCTATAGCCCTTCAACTAATTTAACTGTGGCAGAATGTATGAGATGAAATCGTTAAAACCATTAGATCTCTTTAGTGGCTAATCCTTTTCATAAAGGAAAGCAAAAATATTACCTGTCTCTGCACTACATTGATATAATAGTAGGAATATTCAGTGCATAAATTGGGGGTTAGAAAAGCCTTCATTTTTGCTTTTCAATGTGTGAATTATATTTTCAAAGAAGATTTAACTTCAAACCCATTACTCCTCATAATGCATTTAAATGTAAATCTTCTTTGAAAGAAGAAATAAAGATATTCACATTTACATGAATGTATGAAATGGATGGACTGTATTCTTCAGGCACTCCTAATTCTAAGAGGGAATTTAGGGATTCAAGAAGACCCTGCGATATCACCTTAGTAAGTGATGTCTTAGGAAAGTAAATTTTCCGATACATAAAATTTCCTTAGCTTAAAAGAGAGAACCTGCCACATAACCTGCCTTCAATCCACAAAGAGATGTGAGAAACAAGTGTCAACAGGGCAGGACCCGGCAAAAACTTATAAAATCATGTCTCATAAAACTCTCATAGCAACAGTATTGCTCTTAATGCTAAAGTACATAAAATCCACACCATGTAAGTAATAGTGTTTAGGAAGAATGATTGAAATATGCTCCAGAATATTATTAACAAGAATAATAGTAACAGAGCACACCACAGTTACTACAGAATTAGCACCACAGTTATTACAGAAAAAAAAAATACTGGACTTGGATTTGGAAGACTTGGGTTCTAACCTCAATTTGAGACTTGCTCATGAGGTTTCCAGCAGTCACCTAGCTTCACACAGCTGGTTACCTATTTTACCAAAGAACCCTCTATTTTTAGGTCTCCACCCTACCGCAGTCTCTTAGTCAATCTGATTTCTGACTAAGATGGGAAGTATGGAGAGTGGCTCTGCCCACTAGGCAGTGGAGCTTGAAATCTAGCCACAATTTCCACTGCTGGGGTTGAACAGCTCACACTTTATAGCTGGGTTCTTGCCATTACTAAATGTCTAATTTCCTTTATTTCCAATAGATGTATGATCAAGTGTGCCATGAGCAACCACTGTGTTTTAACTTCTGCATTGCAGAACTCCTTCTTTGGTTCCCTCTCCACTCAGCATTCTTTCTGAGTCTTGTCGGATGTCCCCAGATCTTTGAGATCTTCCCTGAATTCTTGGTCAACCCTAAGTAAATAAATAATTCTTCCCTAACTAGCCTCCATAAGCCCTCTCTTTCAGGTGTTAGATACTTTTCCCCTTAATCTATGTCTCCTTGAAGGATTTCAAAATGCTGAAAAATCCACCTGCTGAATTCTACAGCCAGCTTTCCTCTGAGACTATGCCTTACTTACCAGATTGGCTGTCATTTTCCACTGCATTCATAAAAGTCACTTGAGTTCATTATGAATTTAGACATTCTGCCATGTCAATATTTGCACATCTATTAGTTCTTCCCATGTCCTATCTTATGCCTAATAATGGAGCCTCTGCCACCTGCTTATCCCTGCTCTGCCAAATCCTATGCCAGAGGTCCCTGCATTCTTCCAACAAAACCCACATGGATTTTCACAATGAGAACCAAGCAACATCATGAATGTGAAATGTAGCATGCACTTTGTAGGCGGTATTGGTTGTTGATAGAGGCGCTATGGCTGCACTCTGGTTCTGTTCTTCTTGGGTTTGTTTCCTTTCTTGGGTCTCCATTCCCAGATTCCACATTCACAATTATTTTCAAGGGTTAAAATGATCAGATGTAAGATGTGAGTTTTCTCAGAACCTTGCTACTTATCTAACATAAATGTGATGTCCTGCAGATGTTACTATAAAACTTACTCTTTGATGCCTTCTAACAATTTGAAGTTTAAGTTATCTTCACTCCTGTCAAAGAAACCCTTGTTGTCTATAAAAACCAAATGCCTTGGGTCATGCTTTCGCTGGATAATGTGTGCTAGAGCCGCAGAACCTTGGTCATCACATTTTGGCCTCAATCCATTCTGTACACAGGCATCTTCCTTGCGAGGTCTGAATCCACAGCAATTTGTATCTAAGCGATTATAAATCTGTAAATGGAAAACACAAAATCCAAGATGCTGAGTGAAAACAAAACTTGGGAAAGTTACAAGATTTTCAAAGATCAGTGCTTTCTGAATAGCTGACTTGCCAGAATCTAAGAGGGCCAGGCTCATTTAATTAAAGGCAACTGTCAGAACAAGTCCAAGGTTCATATCCTTCTGACTCAGTCATAGTTATAAGCATTTCCAGCTTCTGCTAATAGATCCAAAGTCAGATTATCCAAGTTAGGCATCTCCACCCTAAATATTCAAAGTTCCCACTGACATCACATACAGACACATGGCCAGCACAATCTCTGACTCCACGCACAGCAGAAGAAACACCATTGTACTTCTATGTGTCTGGAAGGCTCTGTCTTGTTTTCTCCCTCAGGTGGCTTATGGGAAATTGGAGTTACTTCATTGCCACAAAAAGTTTATTGCATCCCCTAGCCTATCTGGACTTCAGTATTACAGTAAGCTAACTTGAAATCACATAGAAGAAATCTATTGAAAAGATGTGAGACCAAATCATAAAACCTAAAAGCACTATCTAAATGGAGGCCACAGCTAGATTCTAAACATATGAACAAAATGGGCCTACTGAAGTTTATTATGGGAGTTAAGGATACCACCCTATAGAAGAGGGTAACCAGATTAATTAGAAAAAGAAGAACTGTTTAATTCCATTTCCATTGGGTAAGGAAAGAAATAATATTTATGAATCAGGTAAAATAAAGCCTGGGCAAAGGAATCAGATAAATTTAAGTCAAATCTCTGCTTTCACACTTCTGAGCTCTGCAACCTTGTGTAGATTCCTTTCCATCACCGACTCTCAATGTAAACGCCTGAGTAACAGGAATGATACTCTTTACCTCGAACACCTGGTAGAAAGATTGATGAAAATATGTGTACACCCTCTGTCCCTGTCCCAAGCATCTATAAGACACTTAAAAAATGAAAACTACTGTTACTCTTGTTGAAACACACCTACATACCATCCAAAGTTATTTATCTCAAAACAAGCTTCTAAGACAAAGAGTAATTTATCCATTTTAAATGAAGAAAAATTCAGCCTCAGAGACATTAAGTAACCTGCCCTGGGTAGAATATTAGTAAGTAAGTAGCAAAGTGAGGATTTAGACGTGGATTTGTTTGTCTCCAAAATTCCACGATTTTTTTCCCCAGTACGTCATATTGAATGGTTTTAGGCTAACTAGTCAAAAGATGGCTAGACAGACACTGCCACTTTTATTCTTTTGGTATTAAATTCCCATCTTTTTCTCATCCTCCTGTGTTTCTGCAGCTCCCATGGAGCTGTCTAGGAGACCAGCTGCTTAGAAAGGGATGCCGAAAAGCAGTGCCAAAATTTAGCCTACTTTGGAATGATCATTTATTCATTTATCCAACAAACAGTTATTGAACATCTTCTACATCCTATCAGTGAGCTAGGCACCAAGGCAAATGTTACCCATGGTCAGCACCTCTCCACCATTACCACTTCCAATGGAAAATTGAAATGGTTATTTAGTTTTCCTTTGCTACCAGAACAAGCTTCAAGAACTGGACAAAGGACTTTCTTCTCTGTTTACTGTATGTAAATGGACTTTGTATCAAATAGCATGCTTGAGATCAAGGATTGTAAGAGAAGTTAGCATAAGCCAATTTTCTATGAAGTTTATGTAAAGCTGGTCACATGTGTGGCAAGCGAGCGACCAAGCATTTGCACCAGTCAAAGGGTACACTGCTGGCCTAGAAACAGTCACAGAAAAGGAGGGTTCTGTCAAGATTGGTTCCAAGCCACTGATCCATGGGACCATAAGTCTAACCCATAGTTCATCCAAAAAGTCACATAGACTGACTCCAGGGAACAGTAAGTTACCACTGCTTGTTAATGTGCATTTGATTGACATGAGAATAAGAAGGTTTCCCAAAGGTGAGCAAGAGTGCCCCAAGCAAATCACTGTAGGTTAGAATAGCACATGGAATGAAAAAAGCACAAATTAGAAACTTTTAGAGAACTTTATTGAGCCCTTTCTTCTCAATTTCAGTCATTTTACGCAGTACCTTCACTGACTTTGAGTATAAGAGAAATCAAATGATATAAAAGAGACTGCATCTGATTGCCAATTATTTAAGTTAAGGTCAGAAAGAACATGAAAACTAACTTTTCTATAAGCTGCTTCCCACTCAATCACCCCTTTTTTTAAATACACATTAACTAATGATTCTCAGAGAATCTGTGTACCATTTTATCATCATTGTTTTATCTAGTTACATTAACATTAAAAATAAAAAAACTTAAATCTTATTTAATTTTGACTAAATATCAAAGTCTATTATATTGGACATATGTGTTTTGAATATAACCCGTAAAGAAAATGCTACCAAACATTTCTTAAATGCTTCTTCAAACCCTTAGTTCTTCCATCATTGTGGACTTCATAGTAGTGGGGAAAGGACTAAGATACATAACTACATTTGTACTGTTTCTATAACAAAACCATGAATATCATATATTTATGTTAAATAATAAGCTCTTTAGAGATAAGGCCCTTTCAGTACTTCTGTAAACATTATATTTTTCTATTTTTAAACTACACAAAAGCATTAAAAGTTAAAGGTTGAAAAGATTGATTTAGGTCATCTTTTTATTGCCTTACCAACATTAGATTGTTTGCTACAGTGTACTTTTAAAGTACTTCGTCTGATCTAATTTTGAATCACTCAACTGTCTGTGATGATTTCACCACCTCCCTGACAGACTGTTGTGCCATTCAGATCTAAGAGACATTATTACTGAAAACAGGTGTGTGCATTCAGCCCAACTTCTCTTATAGAAAATGTTGCCACTAATTTTTTTCAGATCTATATATGTACTTGATGGGCATATGTGTGTGTGTGTGTGTGTGTGCGCGTGCACGAACACTGTGTGTACACCTGCAGATGTAAAATCAGCTGTAAGGTCTCAAATAATCTAGGTTTTACTTTGTTTTCCTTATGCTCCAACTATAGTAAATTACGTCTTTGTATTATTGCCCTTGTCTAGCAAGGGCTTACGTACCTCTTAATTCATGTTCTCTAGCTCTTCTCAGAATTTTGTTTATAGGTTTCCTTTTGAATTCATATTCAATATACCAAAAATAACTTGACCACAAAAACATAATCTACACCCTTAAATTCAGTGCCATTTTGTTAGGCAGTTAATTTAGTTTTCTATTGAGCATATTTATGCTTACTTTTAAGACAGCTTATCTAATTTTTAAAGCCTAATAAAGCATATCCTACATAGCTATGAATCCATAATATGGTTTTAATATACTTGTTTAGTGCACACTTAAAACATTCACTTAACTACTGCATGATTAAGCACTGTAGTGTACATCTACGTGTCTGCGTAGGTAACTATCCTACAAGAAGGCTATTTGGGGATACATTTTGTCAGCTAAGCAATAATGAGTGTTAGTCCTCATTATTGCTGCTTGTTCAAATTCACATCTTATTCTTTAAAACAGGAATGTCTTTTCCAAAACTAATCTTCTGCATCTTAAAATACTGCCAATCACCATTTTCCATAAAATGAGTCTTTCCTTTCTTAGGAAAATACATTTTTTCAATGTTTACCTAACTAAAATTATACTCAGAAAAACCCAGGTGTTCCAGCCAAATTTTTTGGTGGTGGTGGTGGGATATTTTTAGATATATTTCCTTCTTCTAAAGTTTTTTTTAATTCCATTTTCCTTTGGTAGTGTTAGTTTTGCATGTAGGAAAAAAGCATCTCATGAGTGATTCGACTTATGCTTGCAGCACCTACACAAGGGTGCCTCTGCAGCACTGTCCTAGTTCACCAAAACCCATTAGAAATCTGCAGAAACCTAAAGATGTTCCAACCCTATGCACACTACCCACACCAGCTATGTCTTCAAAAATGGGCCTATCAAGAAATTGTGTCAGTTTCTTCACATCTTCTTTTTCCTCAAAACAGTATGATTAAATCACTAATTTCAGGCAATGCTTGGATGAAGGCAATAAAAAGTACTATATTTTGGCCGAGCATGCTGGCTCATGCCTGTAATCCCAGCACTTTGGAAGGCTGAGGTGGGTGGGTCACAAGGTCAGGAGTTTGAGACCAGCCTGGCCAACATGGTGAAACCCCATCTCTACTAAAGATACCGGGCGTGGTGGCACACACCTGTAATCCCAGCTACTCAGGAGGCTGAGGCAGGAGAATCACTTGAACCCGGGAAGTGGAGGTTGCAGTGAGCCGAGATCGCCCCATTGCACTCCAGCGTGGGCGACAGGGTGAGACTCCGTCTCAAAAAAAAAAAAAAAAAAAAAAAGTACTATATTTTTATTTTATTTATATATATAAAATGCTGCTAATATTAATAATAAAAATATTAATAGCAGTTTTATATTGAGTGTTTAGTATGTGCCAGGAACTGTATACTTAATGCTTCACATGTATTATTTCATTTAATCCTCATAGTAACCTTAAGACATAGGTGATACCAATAGTCTCATTTGATAAATGAGGAAACTGAGGCAGAAAAGGGCTAGTTGACCTCCCCAAGGCCTCTCAACTCTTAAATGACACAACTCAGGATTCCAGTCCAGGTATCTACAGCTTTAAAGTCCATGCTCTTATCCATCCTGATTGTATCTCTCGGGGGTAGTCTCCAAAACGATACTGCAAAAAGGAGGCGCATTTGTGTAGAACGTTAAATGATACTGAATTTAAAATATTAGTTATAAAGGTTTCGTCAGAAATACAAAGAACTTCCGTAGGATTTCAGAGAAAAGCTCATGAAGGAGATGACATTACAGTTAAATTTTAAGAGCCAGGCAGTGTTAGCTAAAAACCAGGCAAAGGCATGGAGGTAAGAAATCCAAAGGCATCTTTAGAGATACAATAAGTGTATTTGGCCAGTGCTTCTCTATGTAGACTATTGTTTTGTTTAAAAAAATGATTAATCATCAGAGAAATAAAGTTTTTGAAATGGAAAATACCAGATAAACATCTTGTTAGATTCAGCAGGCAAAATTATTCTATCAAATTATTATCAAAGTTTCTAAATGCTTACTTGTAACTTTGCATTATCTCATCATGAACTGGTATAAAGTGGCATGGGTCCTTGGATCCTACTGTGAGTGGCGCAATAGGAGACCACATTACTGAGAGTAAGGGGAACATTAGGGCAGGTAGTCAGATAGAAAGGTGAAGAAGGGTATTGTTAGCTAGGTGCAGTTATGTGCACCTACGGTCCCAGCTACTCAAGAGGCTGAGACAGGAGAATTGCTTGAGCCCAGGAGTTCAAATCGAGCCTGGGCAACATAGCAGGACCCCCAGAAAATGCACTGTGCCTATAAAAAAAAAAGCTAAAAATTTTTTATGTGTCTGCAAGTTTCATTTTTATTTTCTCATGCAGAGCTGGAAGAAAGGTTGAAGGCAAGTGGGTAGGGCATCAGGTGAAAACAGTAAAAGAATGACAACTAAAGGAAACACAGGCAGAATGTGCTTGACAGCTAAAAACAGGGTAAAATGAGGATGTTCTTCCTAACATAGGTAGGAAATTCCCATCATCCAAATGTTATTCTCATTCAAATCTGTTAGTTAAATTAGATAAACTTCTGTTTTTCCACCTCTTTAAGGGTCTAAGTGAGGGTATAATCACAAGTGTGTATGTAGGTGTGTGTGTTTCTGGTTTGGTAAGTCAGCATCTTAAGATCCTCACCATCTCTTTTCAAATGATTTGTTTTTAGCATTTAAAAACTGCATCTTTAGAAAGAAGAATGCATATCAGAGAGAAAGTATAAATATGCAATAAGACATGTGATTGGTGGAATTTAACATTCACCATAGTATTTCACCCAATGCCTACCACATAGTAGGTACTCAATAAATGTTTGTTATTGAATGAACCCTGCTGAAAGTTGGCACCCACTTTGTATTTGGCTATTTACAATGCTCCTCCAAAGCACTGTTTTGTATTGGGAAGAGTCAAATAAACCAAATGATGGTGGCTTATCAAGATAACGGATTTTTTTAAATGCAGCATACACTGAATAAAGTGCAAAAAAAATTGAACAGGCCAAATAATGGAATGGCCTGTGCTTGCTGTGTGCTTTTGGTTAGTTTCTTTATGTGGGTTTAAATTAACTAACCATGGATAACGAATTCTCATATCTCACAGAGGGTCCGCCATAATGCCATGTATGTAATAGGCATTCAATAAATACATACTAGGCAGGTTGACAGAAATAACCAAAGGAAATGCTTTTCTATAATTAGCAGTTTTCTGGAAGATTTCTTTCAATCCAAGTTACCTCATTGGATATCTCATTTAGAAAAAAGTTCCATTTTCAACAATTATTTTAATTATTTCAAAAAGGGAAAAAGACAGTGAGAATCGTTATCATTACCAGCATCCCTTCAGACAGACAGATGCAAAAACACATGGACTTATTTGTTTATCAGCTAATAACTTACACTGGAAAATCCCTTTTCATGAATTTGTCTTGATGAAAACCACTGTATGGTTGCCATATTATCAATAGAACTAGAGTTGGCCCCATGTAGTCTAATGAGTGTATAAAGGGACACTAGATTGTAAAGAATGCAACCTCGGACAAATCCCACAATCCCATGGCACTTGTTAATATAGACACAGCCTCTTGCTTGGGGAGCTATACAAAGCAAAAGCCCACAGTATTCCCCCCTGCTCCACCCCCGCCAGCATCTGTATCACCTGCGAACTCTCACCGCATAAAATAATGAATTTCATTTTTGTTCTCTGCTGCCATGACAACAGGTGCCTGTTAAATTAGTGAGCATGCATATTTGACTTGAAGAGCAGTTGATGAATGAAGAGAAATGTAAAAATAGTCTGCAATATAGAAATCTAAAAATGGGCATAGGCTTCCTTGTGCCTCTGCCTCTGTAAAGAGCATTCATTGCTCTATTCCACCTCTACTTTAGAATTCCATGTTTAAAAATAAATGTCAGTGTATACCAACCCAGGGAAGAATCTCTAGTTTCTTCCACATTAATAAATGACACGTAATGACACAGTATTTCTTTACGTATAAGTAAAAGTATTCTAAGGTTATTATACATTTGGATCGATTTCTATAGCTGCAATGTTTAAAATCCATATACTGCACCTCTCAATAAGAACCAGAAGCCAAACATCACTATGCCACAGAAAGACTGGAGTCACCAGGCAAGCAACAATCTATTTTTGGAGAAAGAAAATTTATGTTCTATAATTTGCACAAGCAGAGATACATGAAAATAGTCTCTGTCAAAGACACATCCATTTTCCTGTAAAGATTTAAAAAGAACACTCAGACTAAAAAAAAATTTTTGCATTTTATGAAATTCTGATTTATAGAATGAATTGCTATTAGGCAATAAATTTAACATGGAAATGAAATAACCTTACTGTAATAAAATTTTTAAATGCTTTCTTCAGTGAAGTAAAGCACCACTATTTGGAACTAAATCTATAAAATCAAATTAGAAACAAGTAAAACATGTTCATTTATATCTGAAGGAATAGTATCACTGAAAACCTTCTTTTGCTTAACTTGATGTGTATTACTTTTATTATTAATATAGAATTTCTATCAATTTTTTTCTATAATATAGATTTTTAAAGGAAAATGACAAAAATAAGTAAAGATAAGCTAAATGACTATATTAAAACTCAGTTTTGGTTATGGTTAACAGAACCTAATGTAGCAAACAAATCTAATAGCTATTTTAACTTACACTTTTTTACAAAAATCAGTTCTCTTTTGAAAAAATAAATTAATTTTGACAGCCTAATTATTTTCTGGCCACTAAAAATAAATTTTGCTTTTATGAGTTAAACTTTTCTTAAAAATTACTTTTACATATACATATAGAATTTTCCCTTCTATGTTTCTATACTTCTTGGGTTAGAAAACAGCTACAAAATCAAGCCCTTTAAATAACCTTGCTAAAATATTTCAGAACTCTGCTATAGCACTTCACATTAAAAGTTCCTAATCATCAAAATAATCCAGAATAGTATATATTTTTCCCATATTACAATTGAAGAAAAATGTTCAGAGAGGATAGCAACCTGCCTAAGGAGATAAAACGAGTGACTCGTGTGGATTTCAAAAACATCCGCCTGCCTACCACGATGCTTCCCCTGCTAGAAAAGACAAAGTTCTTGCTTTCATGAAGATTACAACTTAATGCCTCTAAGAATGATTCACTGGGTATTCTCTATAGCAACCAGCATTATACTTTATACAGTGCAGGTACTTTATAAATGTTTGTTGAAAGAAATCAAAGAACGCATACCAGCTCCACTCAGCTCACTCATTGAAACAGAATGCAGATAGCTATCTACTAAAAGGTCTGTTTTCCCCTACCCATCCTTTTGTGGCAATCTCAAAATCTTAAAATCACAGAATCTTAGAATCACAGAAATGTAATACCTTTGAAGTTACTAGATCTTATATAGACAAAAGGGAGTTTATTTCAGAAAAGATAACCTAGAGCAGTGGTCTTCAAACTTTTGATTTTAGAATTCTTTGACACTCTTAAAAATTACTGAGGACCCCCTAAGAGTATTCATTTGTGGTTATTTACCATATTAAATGAAAAATTAAAGCCAAGAATTTAAAAAATAAGTATGCATTAAATTCATATAAAAATAATCTATCATATGTTAATATAAATAAGATATTTTAAAGGAACTTGCTATGCTTTCCAAACAAATGAGAGAAGTGGAATTGTTCTTTCAAGTTAAAATGGCATTTAATGAAAAAAGCAGCTAGTTCAGCTCACAATTCAAACAATTACATAAGTGGTTTCCTCAAGACAACCATTGCACTATGGGATACAGTCGATGTGCTTTACACATTCTCATTTTGTCACACAGGATATTAAAAAGACAGGGACTTACAGGTAGAGATTTTTAAAAATTAATAGATTTTCATTGCTTCAAGAAAAATTTTAAGGGAATCTGGCATTTGTTTCATGTGCTATTTTTCTTCCTGTGACTGCAGTGGCAGTGAAGAGTACAATGACCACCGGTATAGTTTGGTGCCTGCCTTTATTCATGCTAAAGCATCAACAGATTTAACCACTACTGCATATATCAACACTGAAAAAAGTGAAAAACCAAAGGTCTCAGTATTACTGTGAAAATAGTTTTGCCCTTATGGACTCGCAGAAAGGCACACAAAAACCATGCCCCAAACAGTTCCATTCAATTTGACCATACAACAGTAATAATTCTTGGAAGCTCCATATATCTCTTAGTGATATGTGTCCATAAACATCATGAATATGGTTGGGAAGAGCATGAAACCAATAGAATACTTATCCTACTTTTGCACTGGTTGAACCAGCTCTCACTTAACCCTTAACCCTCTTTGAATATACTTCTTCATTAGCCAATAATGAGTCATAAATTTTAAAAAATACATACAAAAACCATATACATTGAGCCCAATGAGTATCTGCCTGCCCTCTCAGATGTTCCTATGAAAACACTATCACGTTCATTTTTCCAAAACTGTTATATTTGCTCCCTACCAGACTTACTCAGAGGCTCAGTGCTTTGACCTCTTGCTTTGCTCGAGCATACCCATCAAGGTTGGTTTCAGACTGTCTATGGTTCAATGGCACAGGCTTAGTGAAGAAGCCAATCCCAAAAGCTAGTCCCAGCAATACGTTAAAAAATGTTTGAATCTCAAATGGTTATTTATGAAATCACACAGGCTTCCTCAAGTCTCTCATCTTTCTAGCCCAGCTATGTCTATAACTAGACTTACAACTGAAGCATACTAACTATGCACTGATCAATTTCAACATAGTCTAAAAAATTCACCACAAGGGTGGAAATAAGCAAAAGAAACATAAAATTTAAAAATATATACTGCAGTTTTGATTAATAATAAAATTAGAATGAATCCAGTAATGCTCAACTGGTTGTCACTTAGCAATTTGAAATTATAAATATAACATATTTGATCAGACATTTCCTTCTTTAATTCAGACGGATTCAAGAGCAAAGACTTATGTTCACCAACTTTCTAGTCTACATGTTATGCAGATGAGGCTTTAGAAAAACAACGCCAGCAATCTCTAAGCATGAGTGCTAGATAGTAGGTGGAAAGAATGTATTAAGTTCTAGAGGCTTTCAAGTTGGAAGCAGACATGTGAGGAATCTATATGTTTCTTAACGGAAGAGATATGCTTTGAGACAAAGATCAGTCTGAAAAGGATGTGTACCAGCACATGTTATAATGACCCATGTTCATTACAGAGGCATAGCTTATGAGATACTGGGCCTCAATAACCAGAATGTATCAGAAAACATTCAGAAGTACCTTTTGGTTATTGAGGACAGGTATCTCATAAGCTATGCCTCTGTAATGAACATGAGTTAGGGTGGCTAGGCTATTCTTTTTCTTAAAGTTGCCTTCATGAAAAAATGCTTAAATTATGTGAAGTTAGAGAATGTGGTCTTAAAAGTCAAGTCTCCACTAGAAAAATGATGTTAATGCCCAAAAGGGAGATTCATAGGTCAGTGCCTTTGTATTTACCTTTTTTTTTTTTTTTTTTTTTTTTTTTGAGACGGAATCTCGCTCTGTCGCACAGGCTGGAGTGCAGTGACGCGATCTCGGCTCACTGCAAGCTCCGCCTCCCGGGTTCACGCCATTCTCCTGCCTCAGCTTCCCGAGTAGCTGGGACTGCAGGCGCCCACCACCACGCCAGACTAATTTTTCTGTATTTTTACTAGAGACGGGGTTTCACTGTGTTAGCCAGGATGGTTTCGATGTCCTGACCTCGTGATCAGCCCGCCTCGGCCTCCCAAAGTGCTGGGATTACAAGCGTGAGCCACCGCGCCCGGCCGATGTTGTGGTTTCTTTTTTTTTTTTTTTTTTTTTTTTTTTTTTTTTTTGAGACGGAGTCTCGCTCTGTCGCCCAGGCCGGACTGCGGACTGCAGTGGCGCAATCTCGGCTCACTGCAAGCTCCGCTTCCTGGGTTCACGCCATTCTCCTGCCTCAGCCTCCCGAGTAGCTGGGACTACAGGCGCCCGCCACCACGCCCGGCTAATTTTTTGTATTTTTAGTAGAGACGGGGTTTCACCTTGTTAGCCAGGATGGTCTCGATCTCCTGACCTCATGATCCACCCGCCTCGGCCTCCCAAAGTGCTGGGATTACAGGCGTGAGCCACCGCGCCCGGCCGATGTTGTGGTTTCTTACAGCACCAAATACCATAATGAGCAGTTCCACACTGTAGAACATTCAAAGAAAGACCTATATAATCTCTACCACTAAAGGCAGTGGTGACCATGAACAAGAGTGTGAGGCATATTTAATCAACAGTGGATAGACCAAACTACAACACACACACACCTTATGAGGAACCAGTGGCAGACAAGATTGGAAAGTCAGCAAATTAGGTCATTGGATTTATTAAAAGCAATGCTATTTTTTTTCTATATAAACTGTACCCCTGGATAACCAAACAGGACATGAAGTGAAATTTCTCTTTAAAGAAGTAGTCTAACTAATAAATGAAGAATCAATGATATAATTAATATATCACCATTTTTCAATTCCCAGTGAACTAGTGGATCAATGTGAACATCAATAGCTGCTATTATCAGAAAAAGGACTAACCAGATATGATGTCTTCTGATAAAAGAACACACCACTATCTACAAAGAAGACTTGACAAAATAAATCAAATCTAAATTTGATCATCAATTCAGCACCAATCTATAGGGAACATAGACAAAGGAAGCGCAAAAGAAAGGCACCACAAAAGTGTAACCAGCAAAATTGAGAGTGTGAACTCTACAAAACAAATGATCTGGTTTCTTCAACAAGCTGTTGAAAGGGAAGAGAGAAGATATAGAGATGAAGTCCATTGATTAGAAGACACACCAACCAATCACAAAGTGTGGGCATTATTTAAATCTTGATTCAAATAAACAAACTGAAATATATAAATGACACTTATGAAACAAAAATGTGGCCACTGATTGGGTATTTGACTAAATCACTGCTCAATTTTATTTTGTGCGTGATAATAGCAATGTGCTTATGTGTTTTATCTTCTAGTGATACATACTGAAATATTTACAGATGAAATAATATAATGCCAATTATTTTCTTGAAATTAATGTGGATGTGGAAAGTAGACAGAGATAGAGATTTAACAAGATGGATTATGAGCTGATAATTGTTGAAGTTGAGTGACAGGCACATAGGGGTTTATTATAATATCCCGTCTTCTTTTGCATATGTTTAATTTTCCATAATAATTTTTTAATGTTCTAAAAATTTAAACTTTATTTTCCAATCAAATGGAAGTCTTTAGAGATTTTATTTTGCAAGTGGCAATATGATTAAAAGGGAAATAGGAAAGATAAATTAAGCAATGATTTGCACATTAATTGGCAGTTGGGGAAGACCAAAGACCAGGAGATTAGTTAAGAGTCTCTTACAGCATCCCGATCTACATTGGAAAAAGTCTGACTGAGGTAACATTAATAGAAATGAAAAGGAAAAAGTGACAGGAATGATTTTGAGGAGCATCAAAGTTCGCTGCTACTTGAATATGAAACACTAAGCAGAGAAAGATTAAAAGAGGACACAAAAATCTCAAACCTGGCATATTTTAAAAATAGTAATGTCATGAATAAATATAGGCCAGTCAAGATGACAAATTGTTGGGTGATGAGGTAACAAATTTACTTCTAGACATCAAGTTTGAGAGGATGAAGTGACCACTTGCTATTAAAGTAAATTATTGTTTACCTACACATGCATTAAAAAAAATCCTTTGTGCTGTCTCCTGAAATGTGATTATGTGTTTAAAAATACAGTGTCATAAATTAAACTTAGCATAATAAAATAATTGAATAAAATAAAACTATAAGTCAAATTTCCTTGTTACTGATATTAAAATAGCCCAAACCCTTCTTTGATAAAATTCTACTTTTTTGTCATGTTTTACCATTTGTTTACATTATTTCCCTGCAAAAAATGTTCCTTGATATCATAAGTAGATCTGTATATGTACTTATTTTATATCACTTTCCCTGTCTCTATACATCTAAACATATAAAGCAATGAACACATCATAGGTGCCCAATAAATACCAAGTTTTCTGGCCAATATGCTCACTTATTGCAAGCAGTACTGAGAAGAATAAGATTGTAACGCTGCCAGATAATTTGGAAAGTCTTCTGAAGCTTCCTTAAGTAAGATAACATCATTATTTTATTAAGTAGTATCATTAATTATCTTAAGTAACATCATCAATACTGAAATAATTTCTTCTAGTGACAAACTATGGAAATACATATAGTAGAAACTGTGTCTAAGTCAGACTTTTGAATTTCATTTATGACAAACTTAGTTGTACACTATTAAAAGTCTATAATAACCACAATACTGTTCAGTGCTTAGCATGTCCATACCCAAAAGTTTGGAATTTGTCATTTTTAATCCCTAGCATCATACATTCCCATATCCTTTACCTTAGTAAGTGATTCCTTGTGACCAAGTGAACCACTCTAATTACCTCCATAAAAAGAAATTGAGAAGATGTCTCAAAAACAATAAAAAGCAGAAATACATTGTTCTCAAAACCCTCTGATTCTTGACAGTTTTTGCTTCCTAGATCCACCAGTTCAGCATGCTACCCAATACTGACAACTAATCCCAGACTTTCTTTGCTACTTGAAGCCAAGGCAACATCCAACTACATCATCTCTCGCTGTTTGCTTGAAAACAAATGTGAAACTATTTCATTCGTTTGCTTGAACTTACCAATAAATACATGGCTAGAGGTCATTTAGTTTGGCAGTATTCTGATTCAGCAAAGCAATAAAACCAACCCAAACTATTTGAAATCCCAATGTCCAGGACCCTGGAGCACCATGTCTCTTGCTGTCATAGCACCTGACTGTGAGTGTGTTTCCTCACTCGCCTCTGAAAGCTGGCGGCAAGACCCTTGACCATCAAACAGGAGAAAAATCCTCATCATCTATCAAGGGGGCCATAGTTGGAATCTTTCTCTGTTATGCACATAGAATGTTCCTGCAGAAACAAAGATCTTTCCATGAACAGTAATAAGTTCCCTCTTGTTTCAACAATGATTGGTTGGAATTTTTATTCTTACTTTTATCACACCATTAAGTGGGAAAAAAATAATGCACAGAATCAAAAATAGGAGAAAGCAGGACAAAGATGAACACCTCTTAATCTAATTCATTAGATTCAGGAAATAATTCTTTAGAAGTCAGGTAAGAATTAGGAGGACAGAGTTAAGTTAAAAGAGACAAATCTAGGAGGCAAGGCATACCAACTCATATTCTTGTTGTCTATTGAATTTATGAATATAAGTTTATTGCAGCCATCTGAAAGAAAACCACCTTTAGGGAACAGGATATTTCTGTAAGCACCATTTCTACCACTCAATGAACTTTTTCATACCCTCAACCCTTTGCTAAAATTCCTCTTTCTTATAGACTCTCTTCCCGTCTCTTGTACTCACCTAATTTCTGCAGGTTTTTCCATTTCTAGATTACATGTCACATTTTCTGTCTACACTCTCAAAATTTCTTTCTATAAAATATTACTTTTAATTATGGCACCTGCTATATTCTGCTGTGATTATCTGTCCCTTGTACTAGATTGTATAACTCCTGAGGGCTGGAAAATGGTCTCATTCATCTTTTATTACCAGCACTAAACCTACTCAGTGTCTGCAGCAGATAAGAGCTCAGAAAAGTCTGCTACAATCAAGTGAAAAGAAATACATGCAGCCTTTTTTTGACAGTAGAAAAAGATATCTCCCAAGACATATCTTTGTTGGTCCTCCTCTATGTTAACACCCATTAATTTATCATTAAATAAACAGTTATTCTTAGAAATGTAAGTATATGAAGAAGCCATCAAACACTGAAAATATTAAATATTTTTTATTTGTTTGATTCTTTTATTTTCTAAACTTCTAATTCTCTTCCTTTAACAAAACTAAATATACGTGTATTGTGAGAGCACTTTATATATTTTACTTTCAACATTGTTAATCTGATACTTTAGACTTACTATTTTAATATAACTAGTTGTTTTTTTTTTTCAATAAACCATGCCCTGTGTAAGTGTGACATTTCCAGACACTCTGCTGCTGATAGAATTGTTACAAAGTTGAAAAAGACAGGGACTTGCCCTTGAGAAATTTATAGTTTGTCAAGACAGACTAGTCAAAAATAATTAAAACTTAATAGGCGAAGGCCTATAATATAAGTACGAAAGTCCAAATGAAATTATTTGGGAGTGGCTTATAATTTAATAAATAAAAATAATGATAAAATAATATAGTTTATTTAATTCTTACTTATTTCTATGCTCATTTCTGGATGATCAGTTGCTTAATTCATAAGTAATACTTATTGAGTGCCTACCATGTACTAGGCATCATTCTAAATGCTTTATGTATATAAAAATATTTAATCATCTCAATAGCTCTCTATATACGCACCATTATTATTCCTATTTTACAGATGAGGACACCAATGCAGAGAGAGGTTCAAGCAACTTCTTCAGGTTAAATCAGTAGTAGCAGAAATGGGACTGAAATGTAACTGACTGCAGAGTCCCAGTTCCTAACACAATACAATACAGTGACACAATACAGTGTCTCTTTGGTCAAAAAGCAAGTTTTCTACCTCCTGAATGTGCTCCTGTTATTTTATATAATCTTTTGAGAGAAGTTTGACCAAATCTTGGAGACTCAAACACTCTCTAGAATACTTCTCTTTGTCATCCTAATGGAGGTGAATTTTTGTCTAGGCAGTTTATACCCCCACGTTTCAAGAATAAAAGATTATTTGTGCTTCTCTCACATTTTACAGACCCAGTAAAATGGCATAGCCTTTGTGAATGTAGATCTGTTAACTGGGTGAAACAAAAAGAATGCTGTGTACAGAAAATTAACAACTGGGTTCTGTATTCCCTTGCTCTGGCTCTGGCATCATAGAGCAAGTGATTTTAGTTTGCTTCAGGCATAACTTTTCTAAGATTGCTCACAAATATCCATCCAATACATTCCTAAATACCATTTAAATGAAGCATTTATTCTGATTTAAAATAAAATTTTCAGTGTAATTGATGAGAAAGAGTGTATAGATAATAATAACTATTTACTATGGCATTCACGAAAAATGGCCTAAGTTTGTCCATTTATTTATTTATTTATTCAATACACTTTTTTGATTGATATTGTTCTATAAGCATTTTATGGCCAGGCACGGTGACTCATGCCTGTAATCCCAACACTTTGAGAGGACAAGGCAAGAACATCACTTGAGCTCCAGAGTTTGGTAAGACCAGCCTGGGCCACATAGTGAGACTCCGTCTCTATTGAAAATCAAAAAGTTAGCCAGGCATGGTGGTGCATACCCATAGTCCCAGCTACTCAGGAGGCTGAGGCAAGATGATCACTTGAGCTGGGAGACTGAGGCTGCAGTGAGCTATGATCATGTCAACACACTTCAGCCTAGGCAACAGAGCAAGACTCTGTGACTCTGTCCCAAAAAAAAAAAAAAATTAAATTTAAATTAAAAAAAAACTTGTATGATGGTGAATACAGGAAGTAAAAGAATCAAGATATGATTTTATTAAAAACAAGTAAAACTCCTCTGGAGTAAGATCTACTGTAAGCCAAGTCAAAAGAAGAACAACAAAGTAAGAAAAATTATTTAAGACATAGGATTGACAAACGTTAATTTTCTTGATATACAAAAACATTTTACCAATCAATAAGAAAAAGCTACAGAATGCAATAAAAAAGCACAATGATTTGAATGAGCAATTCACAGAAAGTAAAATATAAATAATCAATAAATATTTGAAAATAGAGGCTGGGTGTGGTGGCTCAAGCCCAGCATTTTGGGAGGCTGAGGTGGGTGGATCGCTTGAGCCCAGGAGTTTGAAACCAGACTGGGCACGATAATGAGACCTGTCTCTAAAAAAATTTTTTGAATGTTTTAAAAAGTGTGGTGGCATATGCCTGTTGTCCCAGTTACTCAGGAGGCTGAGGTGGAAGGATCACTTGAGCCCAAGAGTCTGAGGTTGCAGTGAGTTATGATCACACCACTGCACTCCAGCCTGGGGAACAGAGCGAGACCCTGTCTCTATTTTAAAAAAGGGAAAGAAAATATAATATCCTCAATATCACTCAAAATGAAAAACTGAAAAATATAAATAACACCCCATCAACATCTACAAGATTAGCAAAAATATTAGTTTGCTTTCCACTTCCCACAGTTGGTAAGAGAAAAGGAAAGAGGTAATTTCATACCTTACTATTGAATTTGTAAAATGCCACAACACCTACAAGAAATTAGCCTCTTACATTTTGCACTGTGGGAAATAAATAAATATTGAATGAACAAAATACATAAGTCCACTCTCTCAATTGCTATCCCTGAATATATAATTTGACAAACAGTATTACTTTTGTAAATACTAACCAAATTAACTTCTAATAATCAGATTAACTTCTGATTTTAGCTTTGTGCTTTAGCCATAGCTAAAATCCAGAGCTCCAATCTTGGTGTTATAATTTGAGTAAATTCTAGTAAAGTCTTGCAGAGACCTCAACCTTATGGAGCATCAAAAAAGAGAAAGGCCCTCCCACCCCAGGCAGAGGGGGCAAGAGATTTGAAATATTTATTTTTGTTGAAAACTCCTAATAGTGATTTCACATGTTCAGATTCGTCCTCAAGACCACAGACAATAGGCAAGATAATGATTAAAGCTGCAGATGCACTCAGAAGAAGACTGGGGATCAGCTGGAATTTGTTCTTGCTCAGTCAGGAACATGTATGAATAGTAGAAAGTTACAAAGTAAACAGACATTTTGGAGAAATATCTCTCTTCCTCTATGTTGAGGAATCATATCTCTTAGAGGCAGCAAGCATTACTACTCCCCTCAAAGAACTCTCTGCTTCAAATGGTATATTTAGAATGCCCTGAATGTTATAAGAACAGTACCAATCTTATATTCTTACTCATGCTTTTCCCTATCCTCTCTATCATTGACAGCCTACAATCCTACTCAAACTCTTCCTCCACTATTTTATGGCAAAGTGCTCTTCTCTTTTGACCTCATAAAAATTAGACCTTATATTATGTCATCCAGCAATCCTTGGATCTATCATTCGTTTCATGCACTATATTTTCTTAATGAAATAGTTTTTAAAAAACTTAGAGTGGGACAGTGAGGATAATCACATTGTACTACTTTGCTACCATTGTGGTTGTTTTCTTCACTATAACACACAATAGATGTTGCATAAATGGAGCTTCCCTCAATAGAAAAGAAAATGATAAAGGCAGTAGGGTAGAATGAGATTTAGTTGACAGGTTCAGAATTAAAATACATGTCACTAGAGAACATAAGGGTTTGCTCTCTATTCACAATAGGTTAGCTCTTATGTTTATCAGCTTCAAACCTCAAGGTCCATTCTCATAGACTTCACTGGCAGGTTCAAAATTTACTTTCCATTGTCCTAATCATTCTCAGGTACTTCAGTATCTCTGCTTACCACTCCCCAAACATTTGACCTCATAGTGAGAACTTTTACCTACTTCACTCTAGGTACTTTCATTCATTCTCCACTTTATTACTATTACATTTTATCATATTGACTTGTTTCATTAATCCAAGGATAACTTGGTAGTAGTTATACAACTATGGCTAAAAATATGGAATCCACCATCAGCCAGATTTGATGATACCTCTGTTTAGGAACTTACTAACTATGTAACATTGGACAAGTTAGATAACTGTTGAGAGACAATTCTTCATGGCAACATCTTAGATTTTGTTCTGCATGCTGCTTTTTTTTTTTTTTTTTTTGAGACGGAGTCTCACTCTGTCGCCCAGTTTGGAGTGCAGTGGCGCGATCTCGGCTCACTGCAAGCTCCGCCTCCCCAGGTTCACGCCATTCTCCTGCCTCAGCCTCCCAAGTAACTGGCACCACAGGCGTCCACCACCATGCCCGGCTAATTTTTTGTATTTTTAGTAGAGACGGGGTTTCACCGTGTTAACCAGGATGGTCTCGATCTCCTGACCTCGTGATCTGCCCGCCTCGGCCTCCCAAAGTGCTGGGATTACAGGCGTAAGCCACCGCGCTCGGCCTCTGCATGTATTTTTAAGAGTGTTAGCACACCAGAGAATATCTCCCTCTGAGATGAAGGGCAGATTTGTTTCCTGACAAAGATAATAAAGATAATGTATCCATCTGAGGCAAATATTGGGCAGGTTAACTAGCAGCCCCTTAGAGAATGGGGGGTTTCCTAAGCTTAGAGTCTCTCAGCAGTGACATAAACACACTATCTGAAGCATTCACCAAGGCCACTCTATCACCCCAATAGAACTTGAGAGGCAAGGGAGCATAAAACTGATGCCACCTACTATATCATAAGTAATAAAGTCATTTGTCTCTGACCCAGGAGTCTCATATCTTCTGCTAATGTCTATCAACCTGTGGCAGACTACCTTGTTAACTTCCAAGTAAAGTAAAATCCCAGACTCTTCATAGTTCTTGATAATAACTTCTCTGAGCTTCAGTCCTACCTATAAAATGGAGAAAGGATGCCTACTTCACAGAACTAGTACATTAATAAAATGGAATAATGAGATAATGCATATATAATGCTTAAAACCAGTTACAGCCCCATAGCAGGACTCTTGAACACTCTTTAAGGAGGCAGAACTTGGTGGCTGCTGACCACCTCCTTGCCAAGTCAAATGTCTTACTCCCCAGTTCAGTCCTTGCTGGTGTCTCTGCACCACTGACATCAGAGATCCTTCTCTCCTCCATCAAAGTTCCTATTTCGTAGACTGTGACTCTGTGCTAAACTGGTTTTCTTCCTACATTTTTGTCCCTCTGCAATTTCTTCCTCCTACTCACACTCATAAAATAATGAACTAACAAAAGGATAATGTTTCCCAAATGTTCTAAGGCCATCCTAAATTTCCACAAGATACTAGTTAACAATGCAACAACGGAAAAGTTTTTTTCTAAAATGGGCGAAGGGAAAGGGAGTAATCAGAATAAGGGGGTGGAGAAAGTCCTGAGATATTTATCAAAGGGAGAAAAGAGTCATAAGAAAGCCTTATAAAATGTGAGGAGTCACACAATTATGTAGATGATCAATATTTATTATTCTCTAATGCAGAATCTTCATGAAAAATTTGCGATAAATTTAACTGGAAAGAAAATAAGGAAAATAAGTTACATGGCCAACTGACCATTGAAACACAGTATGGAATGTTGGAAAGAAGACACTTTACCATCAACAGATCCCAACAAATCCCAGCTCCAGCCTTCAGTGGTTGTAAGAACTTGAGTGAGATACTTAACCTCATCAAACCTCAGTTTACTCACCTCCCAAATGGGGTAAGACTATTCCTCATACCTCAATAAATGGTAGCTATGATGAGTATGATTATTGCAGGATAATGTGAACCAAAAATAAAATTCTAAGCCCCCAACCAACTGAATTGACCTCTAAGCCTGGGGCAATCTACAACCAATACCACAGTAACAGAAAAGATCATTCAAGGCTACTATGAACACCTTTACACGCAAAACTACAAAACCTAGAGGAGATGGACAAATTCCTGGATATATACAACCCTCCTAGATTGAACTAGGAAGAAATACAAACTCTGAACAGACCAATAACAAGCAGTAGTATTCAAATGGTAATTGTGATGGTTAATGTTGAATGTCAACTTGATTGGATTGAAAGATGCAAAGTATTGTTCCTGAGTGTGTCTGTGAGGGTGTTGCCAAAGAGATTAACATTTGAGTCAGTGGACTGGGAGAGGCAGACCCACCCTCAATCTGGGTGGGCACCGTCTAATTAGCTGCCAGCACAGCTAGAATAAAGCAGGCAAAAAAGGTGGAAGGAGCTGACTTGCTGAATCTTCCAGTCTTCATCTTTCTCCCATGCTGGATGGTTCCTGCCCTCAAATATCAGATTCCAAGATCTTCAGCTTTTGGAGTCTTGGACTTACACCAGTGGTTTGCCAGGGTCTCTCAGGCCTTTGGCCACAGACTGAATGCTGCACTGTCGACTTCCTTGCTTTTGAGATTTGGGGACTTGGACTGGCTTCCTTGTTCCTCAGCTTGCAGGCGGCCTACTGTGGGACTTCACCTTGTGATTGTGTGAGTCAATACTCCTTAATAAACTCTTCATATATACATCAAACGTATTAGTTCTGTCCCTCTAGAGAACCCTAACTAATACAGTAATTAAAAAATTGCTAACAAAAAAGTCCAGAACCAGATGGATTCACAGCTGAATTCTACCAGACATTCAAAGAAGAATTGTAACCAATCCTATGACACTATTCCACTATAAGATAGGGAAAGAAGGAATCATCCCTATATCATTCTATGAAGTCAGTATCACCCCAATAGGAAAACCAGGAAAGGACACAACAAAAAAAAAAGAGGAAACTACAGACCAATATCCCTGATGAGCAAAGATGCAAAAATCCTCAACAAAATACTAGCTAAACCAATCCAGCATACCAAAAAGATAATCCACCATGATCAAGTGGTTTCATACCAGGGATACAAGGATGGTTTAACATATGCAAGCAAGTCAATAAATGAGATACACCACATAAACAGAATTAAAAACAAAAACCACATGATTATCTCAACAGATGCAGAAAAATCATTTGACAAAATCCAGCATCCATTTATGATTAAAACCCACAGCAAAACTGGCATAGAAGGGACGTACCTTAAGGTAATAAAAGCCATCTATGATAAACCCACAGCCAACATTACACTGAATGGGGAAAAGTTAAAAACATTCCCCCTGAAAACTGGAACAAGACAAAGATCCCACTTTCCCCACTTCTATTCAACATAATACTGGAAATCCTAGCCAGAGCAATTAGAAAATAGAAAGAAATAAAGGACATCCAAATCAGTAAAGAGGAAGTCAAACTGTCACTGTTCACTATTATATAATTGTATATCTAGAAAACCCTAAAGACTCCTCCAAAAAACTTCTAGAACTGATAAATGACTTCAGTAAAGCTTCGGGATACAAAATTAATGTACACAAATCAGTAGCTCTGCTATACACCAACAGCAACCAAGCTGAGAATCAAATCAAGAACTTAACCCCTTTTACAATAGCTGCAAAAAATAAAATAAAATACTTAGGAATATGCTTAACCAAGTAGGTAAAAGATCTTTACAAGGAAAACTACAAAACACTGCTGAAAGAAATCATAGGTGACACAAACCAATGGTAACACATCCAATGTGAGTTTGGATGGGTAGACTTAATATTGTGAAAATGACCATCCTGCTAAAAGCAATCTACAAATTCAATGCAATTCCCATCAAAATACCACCATAACTCTTCACAGAACTAGAAAAAAAGACTCCTAAAATTCACATAGAACCAAAACAGAGTCCACACAGTCAAAGCAGGACTAAGCAAAAAGAACAAATCTGGAGCCATCACATTACCTGACTTCAAACTGTACTATAAGGCTATAGTCACCAAAACAATATGATACTGGTATAAAAACAGGCACATAGACCAATGGAACAGAATAGAGGACCCAGAAATAAAGTCAAATACTTACAGCCAACTGATCTTCGACAAAGCAAACAAAAACATAAAGTGGGTAAAGGACACCCTATTCAACAAATGGTGTTGGGATAATTGGCAAGCCACATGTAGAAGAATGAAACTGTATCCTCATCTCTTACCTTATACAAAAATCAACTCAAGATGGATGAAAGACCTAAATATAGAATCTGAAACCATAAAAATTCCAGAAGATAACATCTGAAAAACCTTCCTGGACATCAGCTTAGGCAAAGGCTTCATGACCAAGAACCCAAAAGCAAATTGCAGCAACAACAACAAAAAAGATAAATAGATAGAACTTAATTAAATTAAAAGGCTTCTGCATAGCAAAAGAAATAATCAGCAGAGTAAATTGACCACCCATAGAGTGGGAGAAAATCTTTGCAAACTATGCATGACAAAGGACTAATATCCAGAATCTACAAGCAACTCAAACAAATCAGCAAGAAAAAAAAAAAAAAAAGAAACCATCCCATCAAAAAGTGGGCTAAGGACATGAATAGATAATTCTCATAAGATATACAAATGGTCAACAAACATATGAAAAAATGTTCAACATCATTAATAATCAGGGAAATACAAGTCAAAACCACAATGTGATACCACCTTACTCCTGGAAGAATGGCCATAATACAAAATAACAGATGTTGGCGTGGATGTGGTGAAAAGGGAACACTTTTGCACTGCTGGTGGGAATGTAAACTAGTACAACTACTATGGGAAACAGTGTGAAGATTCCTTAAAGAACTAAAAGTAGATCTACCCTTTGATCCAGCAATCCCACTACTGTGTATCTACCCAGAGGAAAAGAAGTCATTATACAAAAAAGACACTTGCACATGCATGTTTATAGCAGCACAATTTGCAATTGCAAAAATATGCAACCAGACCAAATGCCCATCAATCAAGTAGATAAAGAAAATGTGGTATATATATACCATAGAATACTACTGATGCATAAAGAGGTATGAAATAATGGCATTTGCAGCAACCTGGATAAAATTGGAGACCATTATTCTAAGTGAAGTAACTCAGGAATGGAAAACCAAACATCGTATGTTCTCACTCATAAGTGGAAGCTAAGCTATGAGGATGCAAAGGCATAAGAATGATACAATGGACTTTGGGGTCTCAGGGGAAAGAATGGGAGGAGAGTGAGGGATAAAAGACTACACATTGGGTACAGTGTACACTGATCAGTTGATGGGTACACCAAAACCTCAGAAATCACCGCTAAATAATGTACCCATGTAACAAAACACCACCTGTCCCCCCAAAACCTATTGAAATTTAAAAAAATTAAAATTAAAAAATAAAAGTAAACCTGAACACTAGTTCAGGCCATGATGGCAATGGGTGGTTGGGCATGCCTCCTTATACATTCTTCCCTTTGGAATTCAGGCACAGTTGACCGGCATTAACATTAAAACAGAACTTAAGATCGACAAAGCAGATTCTCTTTGTAGCAATAAGATACCAACATGGCAGACAGTGGGCCCTGAAAGAAATCAAAGTATTTTACCCCAAGATGTATTTCTTTGATATATTTTGAAATGGCCCTGCCAAGCTGTCCCTTGTGCGGAAAATCTACATTCTGTAGAGAATCCCCTTCCCTTTCCAGATCTTTTTCCTGCTCCAGGAGAGGTTAAGAGTCTGGTACCTCTTTAAGTCTGATAAGAAACATTTATAATGTATTCTCTCTGAAGCCTGCTACCTGGAGGCCTCATCTACATTTGGCCATTATGGCCAAAACCACAATTACTTTTGCACCAAGCTAATAGAAGTTATCACCAGCTTCATAAAAACTCCAGGTGCTGAACATTCCTTAGTGTCAGGCTAATATAACTCAGCGCCAGTCTTAGATAACTATTTGCTTGATTTGATAAACTTACCTGTAACAAAAAATCAAAGAGTGCCATCTTGGACCACTCATGATGATGTATTTCAGTACAACCCGATTCAGGCTTGGGTACTCGGCCATTCTGCCAGCATTTCTGTTTCAGCAACTGCTGATAAGTTCCCCAGGTGAGCTTAACAGAAGAATGGGTGTCATTACTTGCTGAAGATAAAGATGCATCCCAAAGAATGATGGGGCATGGGCGGCCATCTATAGAATCAGAAAAACAAACACACTTTCAGCACACTATTGACTCAGGGTGTGTCTTTGAGCAGGTCGTTCACTCTTTCACAGTCTCACGCTCACCTATCAAATGTGAGAGTTTAATCTGACAATATTTTATGATCTCTTTGTCTTCTGGTTTTAATACTTTCATACCTCAATGCTTCCTGTTTGAAGTCTCATAAAGCAGAAAGTTATTGTTAGACAATGAAAAAAAATTTAAACGAGATATTTTATAGATGTGGCAGGAATAGGCTACTAAGCACCAATAACAACGTCCTATGGTTAATGTGGTTTTATTCCACATCTAAAAGCAGCCACCACAAAAAGGGAAAGAATCTAGACATTTATAATTGTCTATTCAATGTCTGAGTGGAGCTGCTCTTTATTTGTAATAACAACTGTCTGATTTTCTGAGGCCACATTATGATGTCAGGAAGAAAAAGAATTTTTAGAAGTCGCAAATTTAAAAGTGAAATTGTATGGTTCACACCAATCACTATAATCTCCAAAGACAGAAAAAAAGAGGCAAGAGGTTTTTTTCTTTCCTGATAGAAACTGTGCAAGCACAACAGTGCTCTTGGTAAGGGATCATTTATTCACACATAACCTCAACAAAGTGCATTTAAGCAAATGTCAGTTTTTCAACTGCATGTTCATAGATGATCTTTTTTAACCTGTCACTCAATTTGTTTTGTCTCACTCTTGGAAGTTTAGAAATGTAATTTCTTTAATTGCTAAACTTTACAAAGAATTATGAGCCCCAGTGAAATAATCATAAACAAGGAAGACCATGATCCAGACACATTAAACAACACTTTAAGCTTAAAACCAATAACATCATTCCCAAGCCCCCATTTCTGCCCAATAAAGTCACAAAGAGATGGTGTGGAGCAACTTTGCTTATAACTCAAAAATCAGAATGATGTGCCTGATAAAAACAACTAAATTACAAAGATCCAATAAAGCCCACTTAACTCATTCTTAACACGTCTGAACAACAGAGGCCTCTGAAATTACAACCAGAATGTTCAGACTTGTCACAGGAATTTTTAAAACCTCTCTTAAATAGCCTTACATGTTCTCAATATATAACTTTATGGCCTATTAGAAACTTACATGTTCTCAATATATAACTTTATGGCCTATTAGAAACTTTTATTTTGCCACCTTACTGTCTTGCCATCTTGTAGAATTCTTATCTCCGGTCTTTAACACAGGAAACAGTCCCCCTCTCAAACCACTCCTGAGTTTGGTGTTATACTAACCTTAATAGTTTGAATAGCATTCACTTAAATCATTCTAATCACTTGCATTCTAGTTCTGTTCAAAGAAAAATCTTTCTCCCTTTAGCCTTGCAATGTAGGCCAGGGCATGTGGAAAGTCTATTGGATTATGGAAAATATGCCACAATCATTGATACAAAACTAAGAGAAGAGTAGAGAAAGAAATGTGAGCCATAACAAAAAAGCTTCATTTGTAGCACTCTCTCTCTCCTTCCAATGTCTTTTTACCTTAGTAAATGATTTGGGGTTCCTGGGGCCTAATTATCTTCTTAGATATCAGATAATTTTAAATGTGTATATCCCAAGTACCATGCCAATTTATTTTAAAAGAATAAATTCCAGGTAAAAGCAATCCATCATGCTGTGGAAGACAGCACTGGGCCAGTATAACCAAATACAAATAGAAAACACACACACAGCCTCCAAACGTGTGTACTTCAGGCGTCTAAAAACAAACACCAAGAAGCTCTTTCTATTAGTGTCTTTGAACCAAAGTTATATGCACACAAACAGCACTTTGCATGCTCAGGGCTAGAAAGTAATCAAAGGGAGTTGAAACCTAACAGTGAACTTCAACACAAATCAACACGCGGGTCAGAAGGACAGCAGTTTCCTCAGCAATTCATATAAGGCCTTTGGAGAAATATGGAAATTGATCTACATAAACAATTGAAACCTGCTGGGCTGTTTTTCTTCCCTTTAGAAACATTTGTTTCTAATTGTAAAACTAATTAAAGGTAAATCCACTCATTTCATGAAATATAGAAAAACATAAAAATGTATAGCTAAGAAAATAAAAATCACCTATAACCTCATCTCCCAGTAATTGGTTGTTATTTGTATATTTACTTCCAGTTATTTTTCTATCCCTTTCTTTCTCATCTGAATAGGTAAACTGCTTCTAGAATTTTTTTTAAGGAGTATAACTTATGGTTAGAGCTCAGACTCTGGAATCCAACAAAATCTGGTCACATTATGTCTTCATTTTGTAACGTTAGAGAAGTTATGTAACCTTTTTAAACCTTGTTTTTCTCACCTGTAAAATGAAGCAACAACATACATTCAAAACTGACCTTATCAGGAAGAAATGAGATCGTGCCTCTAAAATTCACAGCATGGTGCCTAACATAAACACATGCCCCAGAAAGGTTTTGCTCTGATGATTATTACATATATACATCACATAATCACATAATTCATCAGGCTTCAACTGACCTTTACCATTTCTTGAGCATTTACTGTGCACTAAGCACTGTTCTAGAACCTGCAGCTACATATATAAACAGATAAATGTCAAGTTTTTTGCTTTCATGGAGCTTACATTTCTACCAGGAGAAAGAGGCAAAAATTATGCAAAGAAAAAAAGCTATTTGGGATCATCTTGTATGTAGAGTTTGTCATAATTATTTCACTAAATATTATACTATAAATATTTTGTTTAATTATTTTTAAATAGTACCACTTTAATTGTAATGCAATAATCTAGCCCAGTGATCAGCAAATTTTATAAAAGGCAGAGAGTAAATATTTTAGGTTTTGAGGGCCTAAAATATCACAACTATTCAACTATGCAACCGTTCAACTCCAGTGTAGCCCAAAAGCAGTCATGGACAATATATAAACAAGTGGTTGTAACTATTCCATTAACATTTTATTGTGTATGGTGAAACTTAAATTTCATATGAGTCTCAAGGGTTATAGCAATATCACTAATCTTTTGATTTTTGTCAATCATTTAAAATTATAGAGACTATTTTTAGTTCACAAAATAAAAATGGGCAGTGGGCCATTTTTGGCCTACAGGCTATACATTAACCCCTAATTTAGTTTATGGGTATGCTGTATGTCAGTCACCATTTCTCTATTTTAGATCACCAAATTTTTGGAATGATACATTTTCTATACTAATCATTAAAAAGGTGTCCTCAAACTGCCAAATAAAGTGTTCAGCTGATAAGTATAATTGGTTTTCAATTAATAGCCTATGTTTTTCTCCCAATTCATCCATTTCCCCTCAGCAAAATATTTTGAATGCCAACTATCGCATAAAGACATTCTTTCCTGCCCTGCTAGAAATCAGTGCACCTCAGGAAAGGGGATTTCCAGAGAACAAGAAGAAAGCATGGTGAGCAGTAAGACAGACTGAGTCACAGATGGCTGTGGTTCCTTTCCACATACAGGCCTTCTTGCTACATATACGTGTGTGTGGCCCTTGCAGGTAATAATAGCAGTCAGCATAACTCCAGATCTCAGAGCAATGAGTACTACTGTTGAGGAGAATTCCACCTCTTTTAATATAAGGCTTTTGAAAGAATTAAATGAACCTGGATGGATTTGAAGAGATGACAGAAAAATTGCCTCTGAAAACAGGAAACTGGTTAAAGCAACTTACCCTGAAGTGTTTCAGAGATGAGAAGCATTCATCTCTCCACATTCAGGTTTGTCAAAATGATGCAGTACTGGACTCTCTAGAGAAATCTCAACAAGTGAAGAGATAAAATTCTGTCACAGTGGTGAGAAAGCGGGTTTTAAAAGATATGTGGGTGTTCATGTGAATTAAAGGTTATATAGCTGTCCTAAAAAATGAGACTTGCCAGGAAAGCTTCTTTTTTTCTGAAATCTGAATATTTCCGCTGAATTTGGTGCTCTCCCAAGTCGTTTTTTATTCAAAAGCACAAAGAAGACATTCTTCTGAGAAGATGAACATGAAAATTCACTTAGAATGAGTGCTTTACACAATCTTCTTTGTCTAGATTTATTAAATGCCCTTCACTTTGAGCACTGGCTGAGCGGTTTTGTGGAATTATAGGTGAATGCTAAGCATGTTGGGTGGAGCTATGAATGTCTGTGAGCATTTGTCACTGAGCAAAAATAAGAAGAAAAGTCTTGAGCTCTGAAATCAAAAGTTCTTTCTCTTGCACGGGCCATGTTCCAAGACTCCTTGTGAACAAGATAAAAAGCAAGTGACAGTCCAGCTCCAGTCCTTCATTAAAAACAACTCTATAATACCCATTGAAGAAAACAAAAGCCAGTCAAACTTGAGTGGCATCTTTGTTATAGGAAACAAATTCTGTTGGGCCCCATCACAACTGTCAACAACGCATTGAAGGAAAACTTTAATGCGAAAAGAAATAAACCTCCATAAGGTTTTCATGATTTTTAAAAACAGTAGGTGGGGAGGTAGGAGTCTGTAGATTACATAGGCATAGATTTTATATGGCCAAACAAGTCCTGAATCTAGGGACTTGTCCTGGAGCAAATTAAAACCACAATAAGATATGACTTCACCCCTGTTAGAAGGGCTATGATCAAAAAGACAAAAAGATTACAAGTGTTGGTGAGGGTTTGGAGAAAAGGGAACCCTTAGCACTGCTGGTTGGAATATGCATTAATACAGCCATGATGGGAAACAGTATGAAAGTTTCTCAGGAAACTAAAAATAGAATTACCATACTATCCAGTAATCCTAATTCTGGGTATCTATCCAAAGGAATTGAAATCAGTATGCCGAAGAGATGTCTGCACTCCCATGTTCACTGCAGCACTACTTATAATAGCTAAGATATGGAAGCAACCTAGGTGTCCATCATCAGAAAATGGATAAGAAAAATGTGTTTTGTTACGTAAACATAATGGAGTACTATTATTCACCCTTTAAAAAGGGAGAAATCCTGTCATTTGTGACAACATGGATGAAACTGGATGACACTATTTTAAGCAAAATAATACAGGCACAGAAAGACAAATACTGCATGACCTCTCTTATATGTGGAATCTAAAAAAGTTGAGCTCAAAAGTAGAGAGTAGAATGGTGGCTACCAGAGGCTGGGAGAGGGGGTTAGATGGGAAAAGTGTTGATCAACAGGTACAAAGTTTCGGTTAGACAGGAGGGATAAGCTTTAGTGATCTATTGCACAGAATGGTGACTATAATAATAATATAACGTATATATCAAAATTACTAAAAGAATATATTTACAATGTTTCACCCAAAAAAAATCATCCTATGATTTGAAGAAGCCTAAAAAATAAATTAGTTAAAATTTAAATTTAAAAAAATAAGTAAGGTGATGGATTTTTAAATTAGCCTAATTTAATAATTCCACATTGTAAACATATATCAAATAATCACATTGTGCCCATAAACATATACAAATATTATTTTTCAACTTAAAATTAAATTAAATAATAAAAAAGAAACAGGTCTCTGCGTGATTCCAAATATGTTTCATATATTTATTTATCTAACTGTTTTTCACTTCATAGTTTGTTTTCTCTAGGCCTAACTGAGTTAAAATAATCTCCATACTTCCTCAGGAGTTAGCTAAGTGTGAAGTCAAGGAAGCAGGAAAGGAGAATGTCTTGTGACTTCATTCATCACCAACTACCTAAACAACTTAAATCGCCAGTTCTCCTCTGAAAACAAGGCATTCTTCTTTGTTCTGACAAATGGGCAGGAACTTCTGCTTTCTAGGTCTGCCCTGAACTTCTGCTGTATAAATGGAAACTCCAAGACTCTTCCTGTCTCAATATTCCACTTTAAAAAACAGGAATCAAATTTGACTTCAGAGGGTGGTGATGATGTGGTCACTGTG
Organism: Homo sapiens; assembly: GCF_000001405.40. Lineage (NCBI taxonomy): Eukaryota > Metazoa > Chordata > Mammalia > Primates > Hominidae > Homo > Homo sapiens. The sequence continues at coordinate 158,161,718 of NC_000004.12, forward strand.
CCAGACTCTACAATCACATTTTGCAGATGAAATCTTGGTCACATCAGGGTGACTCAGTCCTGGGCGATTTAGCCTTTGTTAATCCAGTTAAAGGAGCCACGAATTCCTGACCTCAGTGATCTTCTTACTTCTTACAGTGCAAAGCCCATGACATCACTCCCTTTCTTCAAACCCTTCAGCGACTCCCTATTTTCTGCAAGATAAAGTCCAGGCTCCTTGCAGGACATAAAACACACTCACTCTCCACTTACCACAGCTTAACTCACATCGTGCCCCTAAACCCTAATCTGTTGTTTTTCCGAACTATTTGCAATTTCCTGAACACACTCTGCTTTCACACGTTTTTCATAGTCTATTCTCTCTATACTTTCTGCACCCATCCCATCTCTCACACCACCCACAGTGACTTTTAAGAACCAGTTCTGGCATTACTTCTTCCAAAAGTATTTATAATTTCCCACTCAACCCCCTACATACACATTCTAGGTTAAATTCTCCCTCTCTGTGCCTACAGGGCCTCCTAAAAATATCTCCATTGAGGTTTTTATCACACATTTTTTGTAAGGTAGGTTTGCTTCACTGTCTCCTGTCTTCCAAGCTGAGAGCTCTGAAGAACAGAGACTACTTCTTAGTCCTCTGGATCTCCAACTTTTGATGCAGTGTCTAGAACAAAGCAAGCACTCAAAAATTCTGAGTGCATTTTTTCAGAATCCCCCAATGTTCATGGATAGCTCTTAGAGTCTAAGGAATGGTCCATGGACCCAGAATAAAAATTTGCCTGGCATGACATCCTAGTAAGGTGTAATTTCACTGTCTTCACTCAATACGAATTGGGAAGGATTAGAGAAACACTTGAGACATAGAGACAGGGATGTGCAGAGGTTTTGATGCCCTCATTCTGTCCAGCTTGTGCTCAACTATCCACTCCCATGTATCTCTTATATACTGGGACGATGAAAATAGGGGTGGTGGAAACACTACTGCCTCTCTCCTTCTGACCCCAGATCACTATCATGAAAAGGGGAACAGTTAGGCATCATGGCTACATTCAGGGATCAGGCGACAAGGCAATGGGAAAAGTGGTTGCAATCTGGATGGATGATTAACTGGGAAAGCCCCATGCTACAGTCATTGGACGCTCACACATGATGTGAAGGGATAGCGGGAGGCAGTAAGGCACAGCTTTGAGGAATGAGGCTGAGTCCTCTTGACCCATGTCTGTATCCCAGCCCTACTGCACGCTACCTGTAGGCTTTCAGGGAACATATATTATTCTTTCATCCTCAGTTTCCCCTCAGGAAATGTGTACAAGATTATCTGATGTAGGGGACTGTTGTGACATTTAATAAGATAATGGATGCAAACTGCCTAGCACTCCACAAATAAGAGATCTCGTTATTATCCACTATAAGCTCCAAGGTCCTTCTTTAAATGAAAATTTTAGGTGCCCATTTATTCTACTCAAGTAAACATCAATCTGGATAAACCAACTAAGAAAATCTAAAGAAGCATATCATAAAGAGCTACATCAGCTTAGAAATGGTATGAAAAAGGTAGCACTCAAGAGTGTTAGCTGGGCACAGTGGCTCACGCCTGTAATCCCAGCACTTTGGGAAACCAAGGCAGGTGGATCACGAGGTCAGGAGTTTGAGACCAGCCTAGCCAACATGGTGAAACCCTGTCTCTACTAAAAATGCAAAGATTAGCCGGGCGTGGTGACAGGCACCTGTAATCCCAGTTACTCAGGAGGCTGAGGCAAGAGAATTGCTCGAACCCAGGAGGCAGAGGTTGCAGTGAGCTGAGATCACAGCACTGCACTCCAGCCTGGACGACAGAGCAAGACTCTGTCTCAGAAAAAAAAAAAAAAAGAGTGTTAGTATGCGTTAAGCAATGTTATATTTTATACATATTAACTCATTTCATTCTCATGACAACTCTAAGGTAAGTAATGTTATCATCATTGTTTTTATTGTCATTATCCCTATTATGCTAATAAAATATAAAGCACAAAAATATTAAGTAACTTATCCCAGGTCACCTAGCTAGCAAGTGGCAGAATCAGAATTCACCTGCAAGGAGTCTACATTGCCCGTCCACACCCCCAAACACAAAGCTATTTAAATTACAAACTGTACCACTTTTCCCTAGTATCCGGGGCAGTGCCTCACACATAAAAATGCTACTGAATTGAATTGATTACAAACACATTGGAACTGTAACAATTCTTTTTTAACTTAGGTAAAAAGAGCTATCTAGCACTCCTGCACCTGTGTGGTCCTTACATCAACTCAGAGACAGCAGCAGATTCACTCCCACTGAAGAGCCCACCTCCTTGAGCTTGGGAAGGTTCTTAGTGAATCCTCACATCGGTGACTGGAAGATTTCCTCCAGAACACTGAACTCACACATGGCCCTCTAGTGTCAGTGCCACGAGAGCAGAGATTCCTGACCGTTTTGTTCACTGATGCAGCCCCAGTGACTAGAATAGTGGCTAGCACATAGTAGATGCTCAATAAATACATGTTAAAGGAAGAAAAGATAAATGTGATCCTATAGAAGACGATAGATTGCATGGAGTTAAGGCACATGCATCTTTTATGCTGTGGGTACTGTGGTAACCATTAATCACCCCTTTTATCCCAGCAGAGTGTGGGACCAAGGACAAATTACAGAAGCACAGCAGAGAAGGTTGCCCGGTTCCCCGTTTGCCTATGAAGTTATGTAGTGAGCAAATAAGAGGACACTGGAGCACAGCGCTGCTTAGAGCCGAGGCTCAGTAAACTTTTGTTCACTGATGAATGAATGTATTAAGCTGACCAGCTCAATTTGATTCATAAAGAAATAGCCTTAGGGCTTTTCTGAGGAAGAACACAACATACTTTCAATCCAACTTTTTAAAAAATAAAACATGATTACACACTCCTAAATAAATATTTTCAGAAAGTTTGCCTATATGTCAAAGATTTCTAGGATTTGGAAGCCAGTATGTTCGCAAGTTGTGAGGACATCTGTGTTATTCTCAACACTCCCTGCAAAACGACTGTGTCCTTACCTGAAAGCCTGAAACAATATAAAATGCAAAGCTGACATCCCCCTGCCTCGGCAACTGCACTTTCACCCAGAACTCACAGTGCTGCTCACATAGGCTTGAAAAGAGAGTGAAAAACATACCATATATTTCTCCTACTTTATAATACGAAGAGGCAATACAAGTTGGAAAACAGTGAGCAACTTGGGATCTACAATGAATTTAAATGGAAGTGTGTGGGGTGCCTGCAGTTTGTCAACTAAGCAGCATTGACATACAGAATTCTTGGAACTAGGCTACCTTAATTCAGTCTGACAGCTTTGTGGCAATAAAACAGCATCCTAAAAATAAAGCATACATAATACATCTTCCATGCTGGGCATGAAAAATAGTACAATGCTTAAATGCTACCAAAATGGTGTCCCTCGAGATTCATTCACACTACTGTGCAGACTACAGGGGAAGCTCTGGCAAAGCTGCTAAATCAAAGATCACAGAACGGTGCTTGGTTTTCTCTTTTTTTATTTTCTTGATTTTTACATGGACATAGTCTGCTTTGTCTAATGCTAGATAAATACTTTAGGATATTTTCACTTTTTAAATTATCGAAATGTATCAGGACCACACAGTATCTGGTGACTTTTATAATAATTTGAGACTCTTGCAAGGACAATTTGGCAGAAAACAAATATGTTCATCACATTGATACACATGTGATTGTTTATGGTAAACAAGAAAATCTGGTAAGCACTGGCACCTTGGTTTGCATTAAAAAAACTTGTAGCAGTGTTCATAATGATACATCAATACTGCACTTGAGTAAAAATATTGTCAATGTTAGATTATTGAATAGAAAAAAGAAATTAAATAGAAATGTTGGCATAGTGGTAAAATCAGAAACCATCATGCTAAAATTTGCACATTTTTGACATTATCCCATAATTGTAGTAAGTTATATTTGTGAGGTAGTGTGGGTTAACAGAAGCAACGTGAGGAAACTTCAGTGTCAGAGACAGAATTGGGCACAAATTCCAATTTCATTGCTCTCTAGGTAGGTGACGTAGGGCACATTTTATAAGCTCACTGAGCCTCAGGATTCCCCTATTTAAAATAAGAGTAATATCTGCTATGTAAAATTGTTAGGTATGTATAATAGACAACACACATCAAATACAGTGTGTATACTATGTGATACATCACACTAGATTCTTTGTCACAATTGAAAAATACTTCATTATTGCACACAAACATTTTAAGGCCCTTTGATGCTATATTTTAATTCATTTTAAGACTTCCTACACAGAAACATACAGGACGAAAATCTGCTCCAGTGGTAACTGCTGGATCTTATATTGTGGCACACTGCTGGCTCTGCCTAATTAATTACTATCTTGCCCTTCCTCAAGTGCACCCTTCTCATTTTCTAGGATATCTTGGAGCATAACCTGTCAGAAAATAGTCTGTTATAAAGTACAATACCAGTAAGTCCACTAATTTCACACATCTTTTTGTATTTAAGAAGAATCATCTAGAACTCATCAAGTCACACAATCAAGATCTTGTCCCAGATTAAACTGAGCTAGCTGATTGGATCACCCACACCAGTCCTGCCAATTTAGAAAAAACCTAAAGATGAGCTTTATAATTGGAACTCTTTGTCATTTGATTAAATCAACAGAGAGCTTTATCTGAAAGGCTGGGGCAGGCAGATCATTCAAATCACAGCATTTGATTCCTTCTTACACCTCCCTTTTCACATCACATATCCATTTCATAATTACTTTGGGCCTCAACTTCCATATTTGTTAAATGTTTGTAAGAGTCCCCAGGCATAATGACATCTGGGTGCAGCTGGTAGAATTTGTATGAGGATTTAATGAAATAATGCAAGCACAGTACTTAGAATGGTACCTGGTATATATATCTAGGAAAACTCAATAACTCTTAGCCATGGTTAAGGTTTTTTTGTCTCCTTGAGGAAAAAAAGGAGGTTCCCATGGCTATATCTGTGCATCAGTGTATAAGTCATCTGTTTCATTATATTTATATATTTAGTTATTTATAACTAAACTTTCTAGTAGGCTGTGGTGATAGAGAAAGACGATGTACCTTAGGGCCCCCTAAAGGATTTGTTGAGGGACGCAGATTTATGAAAAGAGAAAAGACTGGAAGTTAGAAGACAAAAATTTTTGCTGGACAACTAACTCATCACATGACCTTGAGCAGTCTTCTTGCCTTTCTTTCATCTCTAAAATGAGGTTTAAAAAGTCTACTGCATAGGATTCTCAGAAAAATTAACTAAGACAACTTAAATATCTAAATTCAACTTGCAACACAGACTAACCACTTTCTTGGTGCCAGATATAAATTTATTTTTATAAACATTAATCAAAAGTCAGAACAGAAACAACATTTAGGGTAGATTACTTACAGGCTTTGCTGGCTTCTCACTCTCTCAAATATTAAAAGATCTACTCCCAGACCAAGCCAGGTCATCAGAGAAATATATACCTAAATTAAATCCTATTGTTCCTCCTGCAGAAAACTCATTATCGAATTACACTAGAGTGTGATGCCAACACACCACACTGATAGTTCTCACAAGAATAAGCCCTGTAAACCTTTCATTTGCATTGTAAGGAGGCTACCAAAAACATTTTTTATTACCTCCACAATGAATTCCTTATGAGATCCTCCAGGAGAAAGCCCAGCCTGGACTTAAGACTAAAAATGTTATTACACGTCCTAAGTATTAGAAGCTGGTGGCTTCCAGTATAGTTTTACTGTTTAGAGTCCAAGGAACAAGCAATGAACGCATTCCTTCATTCATTCAAAATATTTATTGAGCATCTACTATGGGCCAGACTCTCTGCTAAGATCCAGAAATGCAATTCTAAAGAAAACAGGAAGTATCTTTGCCTTCACTGACCTAGAGAGTAGTGGGAAGGAACAGATGATTAAATAAATGATTATAATACAAATATGTATTATATAATATAATGATATAGAGCAAGCTGAAAAAGATGCTGGGTAACTAGGTAAGATCTGTTGCCTCCCTGGGTGGGCTGCAAGGCTCAAATAAAGTCAAACTCTGACCAACAGAATAGCAGTGCCCTAGAAGAAAGCTACACGCTTCCGTGGAAATCAGGGAAGAAAGACACAGTGAGAAAAAGACTAGAAATAGGTGGATGGGTAGAGATACTGAGAACCTAATGCTGTCTATACCATGACCAGAAGTGGTCTATTTATGTACTTTGCAACACTGTAACAGTCTGCTTGAGTAGAATTACATTGTGTAGAGTATTCATAACTATATGAAATCATTTCATGAGCCCCTGGAGAAACTGGCCTGACTTTGTGACTCTAAATGACTAAGTAGAAGAAGGTATCAAAGACAGAATGTTGTTTGAGATATAATCTTAGGGATTTTATTTATTAAATTGAGTCATATTAGTATAGCTTTATTAGTTTATTTCCATCACCACTACCATATGAAAGGAGAGAGAAATATCCAGGCTATATTGAGATCATAAACCCCGCCTTCAAATGAATTTTTGTTCTCAAAGATGCTGGAAATTCAGAGCAAAGAATTAAATATCTAAGAGGGATTGGGATTACAAAAGTTTAATTGAGCAGTTTTAGTCATAGTCCTATCACGTAACGAAGTAACACATGAGACTTGGAGATTATGTGAGGAATTCAATGAACTTGGTACCTCATGTGCTTGGTACAATAATAATAATAATAACCAATATTTATTGAAGGTTTATCTTGTGGCAAATACTGGTTCTAAGTGTTTTCCCTGTATTAACTAACAACAATCTCATATGGTAGGCAGTATTGTCATTTTACAGCTGAGGAAACTGAGGCATAAAGAGACATGGCAACATTTCCAAGTCGTATGATTGGTAAGTTCAAACCTAGTCAGTCCAACTCCACGGCCCAGGCTCTTAGCCACTACTGCATTCTCCCAATACAGTAGTCTAAGAGCGTCTAAGGGAAGCTCAAAGGACATATCAGAGAACTCTGCCTCAGGATATACACAGGAGTTCATCTTCTCCTCTCTGGGGCCTTTATGACATGAAAATGAATGGGATTTCAGCATAACAAGGGGGATCCTGTGCTCTACTCTGCTCAGAACAGTCAGTGTGGGCCTGTTGTCCCAATGCCCACCAGCATCTCCTTTCACGCCACACGGTTCCAGTTTGGATAATAAGTTACATATTCACCTAAGTCCAGTGGCTAAGAAGTTATGTTCTGAAGTTTGCTGGGTCTATAGTCAAAACCCAGCTTAGCCACCTACTAGCTGTGGGAGTTGAGGCCAATTACTTTGTCTCAATAAGCCTCAATTTTCTCATCTACTAAATGGAAATAATAATAGTCCCCACTTCATAGCATTGTTATGAAAATTCTAGGAGCCAACACATATGAATCAATTTGTATAATCCTTAGCAAATTGTGGGCACCCAATAAAAATTCATTTTTATCAACATTAGATTAAATGTTTGAGAAGGTTTCTTACATTGGCATAACTGTGGTGGACTGCTTTATAAACTTGAGACATCAAAGCATACCTGTGAATCTGGAGCACTTAGACAAGAACCACCATCAGTAGGGAATGTCCAATTTTTCTAAGTAAATCACTGGTACTTCCAGGGGTATCCATTTTAAAATGAAATTATAATGCTAAAGCCATTGGAAATGCAGTTGGGTCTCAGCCACTCCCAGGGATTTTAATCCATTCCATTCTAGGCTCCCTGGGAACCTCACTGAAATGCTAAATTTCATGGTAACATGGAGAAAGTTAAGTATCCTTTCAGCTTATAATCTCTTTGGGGTACATTTTAGCCTCTTGGGCCAATCTGGATTCAAAGTTGTAACTTCTGGCATCATTCTGCATTCAAACATAAGCCACTGACTCACTGTACTTTGTATTCGAGCCCTGGAATAGCTTTAATATTCAGAGAATATCCTTTATATGGCATGGGCATGACCGCAGACCAGTCCTTTTGCTGGCAACTGCAGTAACTGGCTACATGTGTTAGAACCTGCCAAAATGTTTGTCACCCAAGACGGGAGAATCTTGAAAGACAGACTCAATAGATCATAGTCAGGGGCTTGATAAAACCACACAGCTAGTTAGTATACATACTGAACAAATCACCAATTTTTGCTCATTCTTTTTATTTGTTAAATAAAGAGGTTAAATCCATTGAAAAAAAAAGGGGGGGTTAAACCTAACATGGTCTGGCTCTGCGCGGCTTAAGAAGATTCCATCTGCTCAAGAACGATAACCCGCTTCCCCCTTACTTTTAAAAACTTCTACTTCCTCCCATAGTAACCTATTTAATAGTATGCCTGACTGTCAGCAAGTTCTTTGCCTCCAGCCTAGCTTCCTCTCCTCATCATGCAAATTGCCGTTGGCTTTAATTAGATTTAATAAGCCACTGGGAAGTGAAGCGAGGGAAATGGAGAGCAAAGATTATACAGTATGGGCTTACTCTTGCATGTCCAATACAGCATTTCCCTGGAACTCTCATATCCTCCCAGGCTGGGAAAATAAAGAATGCCAAGCGCATGGAAAGACACGCTGCTGCTGCTGCTGTCCAAATGTGAACCGTGGGTGGAGAAAAATCATTTAGAAAAAGAGAGTGAGGGAAAAAAGAAAATGAACCAGAATCCCCAACAGCTGCAAATAACGAAGCATGTGAATCTGTTACCTTGGATGAACTCTGCTTTCCTGCTCACAGACGGCAGGGTCCTGTTGAGCCCCAGGATCCTGTCTAGGTGGAAGGCAAACACCTCACTCATGTCCAAGGGCTGCTTGAGAAGCCCACAGGGGCTAGGGCCACAGCGGAGCACAGCGCCAGGTGCGCCCCCCTCCAGCACCAGCAAACGGGCTCCGCTCCTAGAGGACACAGGCCGGAGCCCTGCCACTGCGCTGTCCGCCAAGAGTCGCATTCTTCGGATGTCATCTTTGCTCAGCCAGGAGGGGGCGCTCTCGCTGTAGATCCTAATGTTGCTCTCCCTGGAGCTGGGCTGCAGGAAGTCTGGGCCCCCGGCTCGCACTCCCGGACCCCGCACCAACCTCCAGGGTCGCTCTCCAATCTTAACCAGGTTTGCTCCCTGAGCGTACCCAGGTGCTACAGCATCAGCTTCCCTTGCCGCTTCCTGCGGCTGAAGGGATGGTCCGACCAAAGCCTCCTGCCCTGGGGCAGCCGATGCCACTGCATGCTTTTTCCTGCGCTTGGGCTTCACGGTGCCACGGATATTGGCCGGCTTGCTGCGCTTGGAGCGTAGGGTAATGTACACCACATTGGGCTGCAGAGTGGACCCATTGCCCTGGGACTCTGGAGGGGCCAGGGTACCATCCAGGGGTATCTCAGGGAAGGATGGCTCGGCGGTGTCGCGGCTGCGATGTGGCCCCTTCTCAGCCGCCTGTCCATGCTGGAGAGAGGCCCTCCCCACCTGGCTCACCAGGAAGCCCAAGTAGATGGCACACGCAGTGCCCAGCAGAAGGTTTCTCCGGGTCCTTGGACGCCGGCTGCTCCAGAGCTTACGCACCCGCGGGACGCACAGGGAGCAGATGAACCAGTTTATGAGCTGCCCCGGCTTGTCTGGACAGGTCATTTCTCTGCCGCATCCACATGTTGAACGGAGTTTAAAGTCTGCAGTTGGCTCCTGCTAATGTGATGCATGGTTTCCTGACTTCAGCTGCCGCGTCCGCTTCGGGATATAAGTGGTCTCCAGTGGGCAGAGGTGGAAGGAAAGGGTTGGTGATGAAGCTGGGAATGTTTCTGACACAACAAACCTTTTAAATTATCAGTCTCCCCAAGGAGAAATGCGGCTTGTTTCTGGGAATGAATGGATACAGAGTTAACTGAGTCACAATTTCAAACCATTTAAGTTCCTCTACAAGAGTCAAGAAAAAAAGTAATCATTTCCTTTCATAAATATCACCACTAAATGTTTTTAAAAATAAAATTTAAAAGCATGCAAACGAGATAGATGTATAGATTTGATAGTCACTTGAAAGTAGTGAAAACAAGCCACAAAAATCCAAGAGTGTTTTATAACTTGTACCTAGAGTCATTTAAGTTGACTCTGAAGCAAAAGCGTTAAAATGTGACAAACCTGGGCTTTTCCTTTTTGAAATTCAGAAAGAACTTAAGACAAGTAATAGATAATTTTTTAATACTCTATACCTATACCATTTTTATTTTTTAAAGTCCTGAATTAACTAAGTACAAGCAGCAAGTATTAACAATAAAATTTAGAAACATATTCTCTTAGTCTAAAGGTACAAATTGTACTTCATATTAATAATATGTTCCATTAGCTTACATTGTTAGTATAATACAAAGCCATAAATGTCCATATATCTTGGAAGCAGTTGCATTTATTCTGTTTCTCTCTCTCTCTCTCTTTCTCTCTCTCTCACACACATACACACACACAACACAACACAACTCTGACTGCTTTTTATTTCTTTTCTTTCCACCGAAGTCAGCTGAAAGAAAATAAAAGCATCTCTAGTTCTGTTTTTTCACTATTAAAAAGAAAAAGAAGAAACTCGTAAGCAACCTTACTTACACAGCTGGCCCCATGCTTGGCTCCAGGAAGAATGTAATCCTTGACTCTAATGCAAAGAACTTTTAAAGGCTGAGGCATGTAAGTAGAACATATTTCATGGTCAAGAGTGTTCCACATTTCAAACATTTCAGTTCAGCTTTAAAAGCTCCCTTGAAAACTACTGATTGCAAAGCAAAACTTGGAAACTGACTGCTGCATGGTTTTAAGAGATACAAAGCTTTTAAAAACAATAGTTAACAAAATAAACTTTAATTTTAAATTCGGAAAAAAGAAATGCCGTAGAGAATCAGTTTTCATTCAAATAAATTTCCACTTATTTTTAACCCCTGGGAGCCCTCTAGTGTCCTGTTCGCAAACAGACTCAGAAATGTCAGTCTCATGAAGTTCAAAAGATCGAGAATGTTTGCTATCTTGGTGGAGCAGCCGCAGCCAAGCAAGTAACTTGTAAAATGAGGAATGCCATCACCCCTCGAGTGTCCATCCCACATAACTTGGGGTTAGAGCACAAGCGTTCCCAGGAACTACTCACCTTACCATCTTGGCCGTTTCATTTGTCTTCCACCAGTTCTGGAAAGAGAAGGCCTAGAAGTTCAGAAAAAAAGGTAAGAAAGAGTTAATATAAATGAGGAGAAAAAATAGAACAGTGAGATAAGAGTACACACAGATAAGGAAAGACATTTATAGTGTGCAATTGCACGGTGCAACAGTTCACAAAAGGAAGTCGTGGATTCTCTCTGATTGGAGGTTTTTTGAAAAAACAGGTTAGGGATTGGCCTGGGTGGTTTGCGTGTCCTAGCACAAAGGCAGGGGCTGATGACCTTGGGGTGTCAATTAGACTATGGCAAATAGAATCAAAAGGCAAGAAGACAGAAAGGGGACAGGGATTTTTCCTCCCCACAGAGAAAGAAAGTTGTGATACTGAAGAGTGGGTAAAAGATTAGCATATGGTGTATAATCCTAAAAATACTATATTTTACAATGCAAAAAGAGCAAGGAGTTGGAATATATAGGGAAGGAGAGAATAAACGTCCAAGTGGTAAATTGACAAAAATTATAATCGGGCTGTTATTTCAGCACTCTAAACTCAGTCCTTTTTTCCTCTTTAAAAGTCCTGCCACATGGAGGAATGAGAAGGAGCAATCCCAATATTGACAGTAGCCTGGAAGTACCTGGATATTTTGGCTAAACTTTGTGAGAATTCAGGCATCAAAACAATTTTATCTGCACTCAAAAACTCTTAGGCACACACTTCCATACACACAGAATTATTTTCTTGATAGAAAATGTGAACTTCTTGCAAGGAAACCATACCAAAGCTGCATTTTATAACCATCTTATTATTTCCACAGTCAAAGGAATAACTGACCTGGCTCTATAACAATTAAAAGTAAGCCTTTGGCAGAGGCCAGTTATAATAAGCAGACATCTCCTCTAGCTGTTTTTAGAGCTATTTTTTTCATGGAGAAATGCCTACGAGATAGGGAGAGTTGTGTGAGTTAGTAAATTTCGTTGACTACCTTCCCACCCCCACTCCAAAAATGTCTCCTAGAAAAAGAACAATACACTGTCCCCTGCTATAGCCACAATAGGGATTCGTGGAGGCTACACTATCTACTCTGAACTATGATATTCAGAGAATGGGCTGAAGAGGGAGGCAGACTGGCTTTAAATTCTCCTCATTTACCTCTTACGTGTGGTCCCCTGTGGCAAGTAATCTTACCTCTCTAAGCCTCAGTTTCCCCCATGTGTAAGAAAAGAAAAATAATAGCACTTACCCTATCGGTTTCTTCTGATGACTGAATGAGATAGCAGCCTTGGAATGATCATTTGAAATATTCAGCAATGTGTTTGTTTTTATCCCCCATGATGCCTCATTAAACTGCTCAGAGGCCTCTCTCCTCAGCCCAGGCCTTGACAGATAGTCACCACTGCACCACAGCAAAGCAATCATGGTAGAATTGAGGACAAGCACACTGAATTATTTGTAGCCAACATATTGATATAGCCAATACAGTGGATAAATGGGGCTTGTCAGATATAATCAGAGCACAATTTTAGTGATTCCCCCCACTGCCCATTGAAACCTGTTCTGTGGCCTGATATCTCTTTTCAACTTTCTTAAATGGAAACTCAGGCAGTCCCCATGACTTTTCCAGTCATACTTAAATTTTTGTAAAAGTTCTCCAGTTGTTAGCCATAGACATACAGACACATAATACACATAAACTAATTAATATGTTTGATTCTATATCACAGTCAATTTCTTTAAAAATTTCTTTTAAATTCCCAGAATTTCTCCAGAAGATAGCAGTCCCTCAAAAAGCATAGCCAAAATCTACTGAAAAGGGACAGAGGAGACCCATCTTACATTCTTTTTTGTTCCTGCCTAGAGCTCTTATTCCTTAACCACTCACCCAGCCGCTCACCCCACTTTGAGCCTGGCTCTGGCTGTTCCAAGGTAGTGGAGAGAGAGAAGCAATAATAGCAGAAATGGCCTTGCTACTCCATTGATACTGCTGCAAATTGACTTATAAGCTCTCCAGGTTTGGCAGGTGTGTAAAGCTGACTCTGAGATAGTTAATTCAAAGACACCACTATCAAAGCATCTCTCTAGCTGGCTGTTGATGGCCCCTTAGTCCCTTGGAACTTGGTAGCCCCCTGTTCTGTTGAGATCACCTCATCTCTCCAGGCTGTTCTCTTAGGCAGCATTTAAGCTGACCTGCAGGCTGGTTTTCTAACTTGGGCCTCTGTGTACTGCCCCACAAGTGATCCAGTGGACATGGTCACCATCATTTGCTCCAGCAACCTCAGACTTCCCAATGCAGCAACCCACCTCCCTTAGCACTGCGGATCCATATCTCATTTTCGAATGTGGAAGCAATTGCCATCAATTGCTCATGGTCTCTGTTGAAACTGAATGGAAAGGTGTTTTTTGCCATCAGGTAGCATGGGAAACAGAGAAGTTTAATTTAGTTTTAGAAAAATAAGGCTAAATTCCTTGAACAAGCGTTAGCTTGAAAATTTGTTGCCACAATATAACATTCGTGTATAACTTACAATATAATCTGTGAGTGAACATATAGAACTCAAAGTATTCATTATTATTAATATTATTAGATCAGAGAGACAAATAATTCTCATGCCTAAAGTACTTTCTCTTCTTAAAAAACAATGAGAGAAATAAAGTGAAAAAGTAGACAGTAAGATAATGGTAGGGACCATCGGAATTACCTGAGGACTTTTTATATCTTTATGGAGGGGCAAGGATGGTGATGGAGAAAAAACATGAGCAAAGCAGGATTGTGGGAATGTTCTGTTTCTTCATTTAGATGGGATTTACCTAAGTATGTTTATTTTGGGATAACACATTGACTATACATTTGTGATTTCTGTACTTTTCCATATTTATATATATCTTATCCTTCAATCAAATTGGAAAAGGTGGTACATAAATAGCTATTTATTTTATATTCTTTATACCTTGTATATATGTTATAAATCTACATAGGAGAGTAGAACAAATAATTTGTTTACAATAAAAAACGCATATTACTTCAGTCATTTAAAAATTAAGTTTAAATATTAAAGAACAGTAAAATCCCTGAAAATTTTAAAAATATATGAGTGTCTAGACCCCATCCATCTTCCCAGAGATTCTAAATGATCTAAAGTAGGGCCCAGGAATCCACAGTTTTAAAAGCTTCTAATGTGCAGAGTTATAATTCACTGTACTATGAGTTAAATACTTAGTTCTAGGAGCAAGTTAACACCTTTTTACAATTAAATGATGTCTTAGGTTTCACTGGCAATGAAGTAATCCGTAAATCCTTCAAGGCTTCCAATAGTAAGATCCTAGTTTGGTAAAGGCTATTTGCCTTCAGTCTGGGACAACTCCTGGACCAGATTAGATAGTGAATCGGGCCTCATTCTTCCACCCACAGCACTCTCATTTCCCCCATTCCTGTCAGGTGTGTCACTTGCTGTGACTGTGTGGCAGCTTGCCCATCTCCTGAGAGCCCTTGGGAAAGTGAAGGACAATATATAAGGACTCCAATCACTTAAAAGCTAAGTATTAAGTTTTTCCTTGCCACTGCTGACCCAGGTTTGTTGCATAGATTGCAGACCTGGAGATGGATACCTTGTTCTTGGTTCAGTGCTGCACAGACTCCTCCACTGGGGGACCCTATCCCTTGCTCCTCATAGTCCTGATTTCTAGGACCCATAACCCTATTATAATTAAAATCCCAGCATTAGCATAGGTTCCTGGCTACAACCTTTGTCCTACTTATTGTATGGAATTTGCTAATACCTTTGCTATCCATTCCAACACCAGGCCTGGACAGCACCAAGCTGCCCTGCCTGCAGCTGAAAAACTTTTAACTTAATAGTCTTTGAAGTTTTGTCATAGAAGTGTTAAATAGTACTCTATACTGTATCTGTCTTTTGAACTGTATGTAAAAGAAGTTACATTGAATATATTTTATAGAAATATGTGCACTTTTTATCTGGCACTTTATTGCTCACCCCTAAGGACATCATTCCTGTTGACCTAAACTAGTACATCTATTTGCAGTAGGAAAAGTGCTTTTGGAGAAAATCACCTGTCTCCTCAGAACTGGTCTTACAAGTCTGTGAAGTAACACTATGTGCCAGCCTAATCACTCATATATGACCTCAAGAGAACACCAAATAAGCATATTTCCAGCAGGTAAAATGCCTGGCATTGCATTGTATTAGGTATTCTCTCCTCTGTCTACTATTATAACTTGCACCTTCCTCCAATTTCCTGGTATGGAAATCTCCTGCAATAATCCATTTGCCTCATTTCCCTAGGAACATTTGTTCCATTATTTGATGTTGTGTCTGTGTTAGAATGGTCCTGCCACATGACCAGAAGCTGGGCAATGTCTGCATGAACATACCATGATATGGTAAAGAGATAAAATGTACGACAGCCAATTTTGCATATATTTGAAATGATAGACATGTATAAAATTATTATTTCACTTCTTAATAATTAGATAATTTATGCAGATTAGAATAATTTGCATTTTTTTATAGTTCTAAAACCTGATAATTCATAGAGTTATCATGGAATAAAGTAAGAATTAGGAAAATTGGAGGTTGCCCTGGGTTTCTTCAAAAAGCCCCCACACAATCTAGACAACTAAGCTTCTCTATTTCAGAAATGGGCACTCAATGTCTCGATACTCTGCTCCATCTCTGTCCCCAGGGCACACACACAAAGGAGAAACCAGGACAGACACACTGGCTCTAGGTCATTCTTGGCATAGAACAACCTACGCAGCAGTAGTTTTCTGTGTTTGTAAAGGAGTAAAGATTGGATAAAACTGCTCAACCCTTGGGCTCCTTGCAGGAAACTAGCGGAGACCAACAAATTATTTTTTTCTCTCCTCACCTAAAGTATAGTTTATGTAAAAGAAAAAATTCTACAGAGTACATTTAAAGGAAGGGAAGGCCCCTGGCTTCACCAGATTAAATCTGGAATGTTAGAAATGCATTGGGATTATAAACAAACACCTTAAAGTGCAGGAGAAAATGTAGAGAGAAATTTGGAATCCTTTATTCATCTGTATCTGGTAGTTTTGCAACTGAGTTGGATCACCTACTATGATTCAGACATATATAGCATATCTGATACAATGTTGGGGTATGTAACTACATACACAAGTTTCAAGAATTGATAGCAAAACTGGATTGGAAAAGACAGACTGGGTTAATGTTACATACCCTACCCATTCACCCACGCCCACCTCCCCAATACTATGGATTCAAGCACCAGAAAAGAAGAACTACAGGAAGGCACTGATGGAGATATTTTCATACATTATTCTGTGCAATATCAAAGCATCAGCAGCCATTGGCTTGCAAGGTGAGGAAATATGATGCAGGGTCAGGGAGCATCTCATCCTCTCCATCACCTCTCCGGTATTGCAACTTCTGGAGCACAGGTGGGTAGCTCCCATGGTGTGTACTTCATGGTTACCATAGAAAGCAGCAACAGCAGCAGGTGCAGCAGTAAGTTACCCATAAGTAGCTGCACAGAGAGAAGACATCCATGGGAGAGGCTTGTGTGTGGTAACCAGAACTGCCTGGGTTATAAGTATATGAACTACAAGACTAGGCATCCCTAAGACACAATAAGTGCTTTTTGGAGCAGTGCTGGAGTTCTTGTTCTACACAGGAGAGGGTAAAAGTCAGTGCAGTTCAAGTCACTCCTGCCAAAGAATGCTTGGTAGCCATGGGCTAGTGAGACCTGGAGAAATGCACATTGCACAACAGTTTAAAATGTATTGAAGACCTACTCAATGCTTGTCACTAAAGCTGGATTCTGTGGGGAGTATGCAATGTCTAAGGCACTGCCTGGACATTAACTGAATGAACAAATGCATGAATGAATGAACATATTAAGATGGTAAAACACATCCCAAGGCCAGTGGTTCTCAAAGTGTGGCCCTGAACCAGCAGCATCAGCTTCACCTAGAAATTTGTTAGAAATGAAAATCCTCAAAACCCACCGGAGACTTATGGAATCGGAAACTGGAGGACAGTCTTGTTTCAATACAGATATTGAAACAAGCCCTCCAGGTGACTGCCCTAGTGAGAAGCCCCAAAAAGAATGGGGCAGGCCAGGAGGAAGACAGAAAGATGCCAAAAGAAGAAGGACAGAAAAGCAAAAAGTTGGGAGGTGATTCAAAACAATATTTGCAGTTTATTTAAGGTCGTTCTATTCCTTTTGCCGTCTTTATGAGAGTTCCATTTCCTTCCTGATATTTTACCCTTTGGATCAAAAACACAGAATGTGTTAACATCACATACCCTGCCCAGCCACCCACTCTCACCTACTCAGCTCTATAGATTCAAGCCCCTTCTCAAAGCAAGTTCACAGCATGTAGAAACCGGAAAAAGAAGGAATTTGAGAGAGACTACAGCTCACAGCCCATGGAATGAAAACCAGGAGCACCCATGGCTGGGTGTGGAGGGACTGCCTAAGGAAAAACACCAGAGAAAAATCAATCCTCAACAGCCCATCACCAGTTATGAATCCATAAAGACTCCTTTTATAGTAAAATCACACTGTTTTCCAAAAGGCAGTCATCGGGTTCCCATGGTCATGTAACCTGTAGCATAGCCAAAAATTATAAGCCTAAAAGCTTTTGGTTAGAAGCTTGGAATGGGTTCCGAAATAAAAAGATGAAAAGATACCAAGGAGTATAACACAGGAAAAAAAAATTGAATATTTTTATAAGAATGAACATGTCGTTCTCTAAATATAACACACTCCAATTATTTTTCCACAGGAAATGACCAGTGCTTTGGTTAAGAATGCACATTATACTGCAGTTCTTTGGGGAATGAAGCCACCCTTGACTGAGGTAATCATCAGTTCAAAGGCAACTCCTTGTTTTATCTTTGCACTAATTGCTTAGAGAAATAACCAGACAATATAATTTATGACAACAAATCTGCATTTAACTGAGTTAACGAATTTGTAAACAAAAAGATTCCTATCTCAGGTAGGTGCTTTTGGCAAGATATTTAATTTTGCCCAGTTTCCTCATCTGAAAAGCTAAGAGTATTATATCTAGTACACAGAACGGTTCTAATAATTAAATTGGATGCTATATGTAAAGCACTTAGCACAGTGCTCAATATACTGTAAGATGTAATTGCTCATTCATTATTTTCTCTTTTCTTGCAAGGATGATACTAATGGCTAGGCACTCTCTAAAGAGATGTAAGACACTGTTGGTAAGACTCCTTGATCAACACATGATTTCAGGTTCAAGAAAAAGTTGTATTATTAAGTTACTAATGCAGCAAATTATCCAGAATTTGCTTCACTATCTTCTTTTATACTTAACAAAAGACTTAAAATATAATCAGGACTGTAGTCTGCATGCTACTTTGGATTCAAATCTTTGGCAATTTTTGCCTTTGAAATTTAGAACTAGTCTATGGTAACCTATATGAGGCTATAATGAGGTAAGTCATGGCAATGTAATTGAAATGCGGGGTATCATAATTGAATACTTGTTTTACCTTTCTTAATAATGGCATCAATCTCATAGAGCTGGTGTGAGGATTAGATGAATTAATACATGCAAGCCCTTACCATGCCAAAAAAAAAAAAGTCAGCTTTGTCATTATCAGGTGGGGAAAGACAGACCTTAGAAATATTCATTTATCACGGTCAAAAGGAGATTCAGAGTTGGTCATGCCCATTTATACTTTGATCAAGGGAGAGGTCACCCAATTATTGAATGGATTTAGACAGTTCTCCTGGCAGGTATCTCCTTATTATGGAGAAACCTGTAATCGCTTATTAGAGACCGAAGTATTTGTTGTCATATCTTTAGACTCCTCTATTATTCAATTTTTTTCATTTAAAATATTTTTGGAGCAACTATCATGTGAGAGACATTGTGAAAACACTTTGGAAGTAGCAGTTAAAATGATATACAATGGCCTAGCAGTCAAGGGACTTACAGGATCCTACCTTCTAGGCTGGACTCCCTTCTCAAAATTTCATTTCTATCCTGTTCTCCACCTTCTTCCTCATCTGCCACCCTGAGAACCTGCCCAAACCAAACAGAAATGTCTAGTTTCAGGTCTCAATTCTTCCCATTCTATCTGTCTCAATATAATTAAGTAGACCATGCCTACTTACCTTAAATATGTCAATTCTAATCATGCTAAATTTGTCTACCAAGTGACAGTATTGGACTGCTTTGGGTAGTTTTATAGATAATTCATTTTCATTGATAAATAATTCACCTACCAATCTGTCATAAGTTTCAAACTGAACCAAAGCTTATTTTCACTTATTCAATTATTGAATCATGGAAAAAAAGACATTCTTCTTTTCGTTAAATAAGAAAAAATGCTTTACAATTAATTGAATTTCAGCTAACAGGTGGATAGATTTCTTTCTAAAATATATAGCTTTGTAAAATAAAAAAGTTTAATAAGTTGAGTTTGGAATTTCTGCAGCCAAAGCATATAAGTGTCTGAGAGGCTTGGTGAACATAAGTTCATCACGAAACATTTTTACTTCTTTTCAAGTTTTCCACAGAGAGCACAATTCAAAATTAAAATGTATAACTTTCTGTTTCAAGCAGTATATATTGTCAGGCTGGAAACTCTCAAAGGCCATCTTACCTAAAACCTAGACCCAGAATAAATAAGGAAAAAATGCATATAATCCATTGTTTACAAATTTCCTAAAAATGAAAGATTCTGAAATTTAAAACTTCCATAAATGACATCAAGGTATCTGCGGTTAATATTAGAAATCACAAGCATACAAAGAAAAAAAAAACACAAAGAGAGAGAGAATTTTTGGAATTATTTGAATCCAAACATAAATATAGATAGATAAATATAAACTGTTTAAAGGAAGACAAAGGGAACATGCAACAAAAGGTTTTAAAAATGATTGGGTACACATTAAAAAGAAATCTTAAAATAACATTTAGAAATGATAAAACTGTTCAAATTAAAATTCACTGGATAAAATGTTGGGCCCTGGAGTCAACAGTGTAGCTTACATTTAACTAAACCTCCTACCAAAAATAAGTTTAAAAATTGGAAAAATATATATATATAAACAATCTTCTGAAGGCATTGGAGAGCCAGTGCAAGTAATATTGAGCAGCTAAAATCCTTGAGAAAGGGAAGCACACAAGATGTATTCAACATTCACCTCGGAATTTTCCTGGGGGCATTTTCCAAGTTGTGGTGAAGGCGAAAAGAGCCCAAGAAGAAAGCAGGAGTTTCACACGTCAGAGGAGACAAAGTCTGGCGTTTCAGGACGCCAAAGGAGCTGTGATTTGAGGAGCAAACTATTGAAAAAGACAGGAAGCTAAGAGAGTGTCCCCAAATCTGCATCCTAATTTCCCTCAAATTGTGGGTAAATTTCTGACTTGTGCATGTACAAGGCAAGCCTTCAAGATATGTAGTGGGAAACAGCAAACAGAAAGCTTGAATGCTGAGCAGAGATTTCAGCAGCTGAATGGCACTGAGGAGTTAGAGATTAGAATTAAATCCAGAGGGAGCGTGCTAAACCTAGGTCCAGGACTTGGGCAAAGCTACTTTCTAAGATTAATGGTCACATCCTGTAAGTAGCAAATTAAAAAGGTCAAGTATAACAAAGCTTAAAACTAAGTCTCAACTGGATCAAAGTCATTCACTGAAGTGCTTTATAACTAAAAAATAAAAACAGCACTTTCGTGGGAACATCATATAGAGAATGTACAGTATGCTATCTATATTCTGAAAACCGACTGAAAATTATAAAACATGTCAAAAATAACAACAGCAAATGACCAACACAGAGGGAAAAGGGGGGAAATTTAGAAATAAATTAAAAAAAAAAAAAAAAAACCCAGGCTCCATCCTTCAGGAACTCGAGAAGACCTGAACGCAGCTGCTGTCACTGCAGTCTGAGCCTAAGCCTGACGCATCAACTCTGCGTCACTTCCTGTGCCTGCACGCACGCTCCGACTGCGTGCCCGATTTCCGGGCTCTGTGCTACTGGAGCGCCTGGCTCTTGCAGCTCACGAGCCTGGGAAGTCGCCTCTATCCAAAGGCCTTTTTTCTGTGCTGTCTGCGCAAGCTGCCTTCTCCCTGCCTGCCCACGGGAGCATGACCAAGGTGGTAGGCTGCCAGTGGCCATCTCCATAAAGGCAACTGAAAGTTTCATACTGGAAGCTCTTTGGCTGGCACTCCCACAGTTCTATGAAATAAACTTACTTAAAGCTCTATGAAGTATGAAAACTTTGCCCTGCTCTTTGACTTGCACAAATTTTGTTTGTATGGTACATTAGAAGAGAGAAAAGGACGGCTTGCGATGGCATTATTAACTAATGGAGCACTGCAATTTTTACCAGGAGATGAGCTATGCTTAGAAGACTCAGACTTTTTAGAAAATCATTTCTCCACTTAAAAAAAAAATTGAAGGAAGGCAAGAAATTTCACAACATAGTGATAAACAGTCACCATCTTTATAGTATCCATATAACTATTCAAAAATAAAACATTTTTCCTAAGACCTATATGGTAAGTCAGTAGATAAGAGGCTTTTGTAAAATGCTACTTATTGGTAAGCTGACTTATATGAAGTAGTCCTAATGAATAATGAGGGTTGACTAGTCTTGTTTGAAACCGTGCCTGTGAAAGTTATAGCAGTCTTATTTAAAGTGTATTATGGTGCTCTCTTGCTTAATTGAATCTTTAACATTGTAGTATGCCACAACTGTAAAGTATTAATGATATTATTACCAAAACAAGAAAAAATTATTTTATTATGTCAAGAGTTTAAATAAGATGTTCTGCTGCCATTGTTCTAACTGTCCAGTGTATTAACACTCCTTGATGTGCTTAGAAGGTGGATCCATGAATTCCTTAGACTTTCTGCCAGAATTAAAAAGTGTCTAATTAAATGGTGAACAGTAAGTAGACTGAGGCAAATTTCCAGTGATGTTGTCATTTTTTTTTTTTTTGCTATGCCTTTAGCTTGAGGATTACAACACAATTCTATTTAAAACCAAATGGCATTAGTTCTTATCTATTCCCCAGATTGAAAATCTATTTTAAGTCAATATTTTAAAGAAATATGAAGCCATAACAAAAGCTACCATTATTTTTGCTCTGAAGTGCTAGTTAATGAATGCAAAGAAGATAGATTTAGAACTATTCATCATTTAATGTTTAATGAAATTTATTTTCAGTATATTTTATATGGGTTTTTTTACCTCCTCTAAAGAGGAATAATGTTTATTGATTAAAAGTGAAAAATAATGGTTTAGACACCAATTCTTTTTCAAGATCTTTGACTATATTACGCATTGTACAATGGATTTTATTCTTCATGAAATTTTTTAGTTTCCCTACTGGTAAGATAGAGATAATGACTTAGAGAGAGTTCTACAGGATACTCAGACTTTAAAATACTTAGATTGATCGATAAAAGAAAGTAAAGCAAAAGATAAGGAGTGGGAGAATTTCAACAGAAAATTAGAAGCTATAAAAAATCAGTGGGACCAGGCACAGTGGCTCATGCCTGTAATCTCAGCACTTTGGGAGGCCGAGGCAGGTGGATCACAAGGTCAGGAGTTTGAGATCAGCCTGACCAACGTGGTGAAACCCCATTTCTACTAAAAATACAAAAATTAGCCAGGCATGGTGGTGCGCTCCTGTAATCCAAGCTACTCAGGAGGCTGAGGCAGGAGAATCGCTTGAACCCAGGAAGTGGAGGTTGCAGTGAACCGAGATCATGCCACTGTACTCCAGCCTGGGTGAGAGAGTGAGACTCTGTCTCAAAAAAAAAAAAAAAAAAAAAAAAAATTAAGTGGACATTCTTAGTCTGAAATTTTTTAGAAATCTGAAATTTAAAAAAATTTATTTGGTTTTAAAGGCAGATAGAACAAAGCAGAACACGAGGTTTATGAAATTAAAAACAGGTCCCTAGAAAATATTAAATATAAAGGCAAAGTGTTAGAAAAATAAATAGAAAAAAATTAAAACCAAGTGTTTAAGATATGTATTGGACACAGTTAAAAAATCAAACATAGGTGTAACTAGATGACCCAAAGAAAAGAGAAAGACATGGTGGCAGAACAATATTTTAAAAGATGATGATAGAATTTTCAAACTCAAAAAACTTATCAACCCAAAGATTAAGTAAGATCACTGAATTCAATACAAGATATGTACAAGGAAATTATCAATAAGCACCTCATAGTTCACGTATTAAAAAAACAAAATATATACAATTGAAAAGAGAATTTATAAACTAAAAGGTAGGTCAGAAGAAAATACCCAAACGGACACACGGACAGTTAAGAGGATGGAGAATCCAGAAAGGGCATGAGAAACTTATCAGATATAATTAAAAGGTTTACTCAAGGTACAGAAAGAAAGGAGAAGAAAATGGGACTAAAACAATATTTGAAGAGAAAGTAGCCAAGAATTTTTCAGATTTAAGAAATGCTACAAACCTCCAGAAGGATAAACACATTTCCATTTTATAAGAAGCAAGCAATATAAGGTTTGGATAATTGAGGTTTCATTGTATTTTTATGGAATATTAGAACTGGAAGAGACCTAAGAGATAAACTAAATATAACCCACTGATTTTATAGAAGCAGCAGCTTGAGGGGCCTACCAGTAAATAACTTGAGAGTCAGACAGAATCAGAACTCTTAAATTCAAATTAAGTGATATTTTCACTATACAAGACTTTCTCTCCTATTTAATTTTCTTAAATTAAATCAACAGCTTTCTCAGAAGATATAGAGCATTCTATCATTTTAAATATAGATTTTCCTAAACTACTTTTTAAATCTTTCTTGTTGACTTTCATAATGTCAGGCATATTGATAGTGAGAAAGAGTAATGTTAGTCACTTGTTCAAGGTCACATGTTAGAGGCAGATGAGGGACTAAAATTCAGGTCTCTGAGCTTTCAAGTGCGGAGTGTTTTCCACATGTATTTTTTTTTTTTAGATGGCATTTGAGCACTGCAACTGAAAGCAAAAACTACTGTTCTTTCACCTTCATTTTTAGCTTTAGCTATTATTTGTTGGGTGATCCATACAATTTTGTTTGTTTGTTTGTTTTGTTTTGTTTTGAGACAGAGTTTTGCTCTTGTCATCCAGGCTGGAGTGCAGTGGCATGATCTTGGCTCACTGCAACCTCCACCTCCTGGGTTCAACCAATTCTCCTGCCTCAGCCTCCTGAGTAGCTGGGATTACAGGTGCCTGCCACCTCACCCCACTAATTTTTTGTATTTTTAGTAGAGACAGAGTTTCGTCATGTTAAGCAGGCTGGTCTGGAACTCCTGACCTCAGGTGATCTGCTCGCCTCGGCCTCCCAAAGTGCTGGCATTACAGACGTGAGCCACCGCACCCGACCAATCCATACAATTTCTAATCCAATTCTCTGTATTATGTGAAAGGGGAGTGGAGGAGTACAGGAGAGAATGGAGAAAGCAACTATGATTTGATAGCAAACTTATACCTTTTGTCTACCTAACATTTTTTCCTCATTTCTTCTAGTAATAGACCCCATCACTGTCCTGGATGTAAGAATGAATACATGGCTAAGCTATGGCAAAAACAGTATATCTCCTTGTTAGGACAGCAATTGGCCCACAGTTGAGAACTTTACTCAAGGTGGGAATATTAGCCTTCTTCCAGGACTTTTACATTGAGAACATTTAATCTCTAGTCATGAAGCAATGAGTTTATGATCCCAGGAAGAGGGATGGTGCACATCATTTCAGCCAGCTTGAGAAAATGAAGTCACTGTTTAGAAAGATTCACAGGAGGAGAAGGAAGAGAATAATACAGATTAGAGCCTCTAGTTCGATGTTCCATCATCCCTGTCCTTACCATAATTAATGTGCCAATAAATTTACCCTTTTGCCTAATAAGCTCAAATTGAGTTTTAATCACTTTCATTTCAAAGATTTTTTATTGATGCAGAGATTTGTACAGATGGTCCCCAAGTTATGGCTCAACTTACAATTTTTCAACTTTACAGTGATGCAAAAGCTACATGCATTCAATAGAAACCACACTTTGATCTTTTCCAAGGCTATAGATATGAGATGATAATCTCCCGTGATGCTGGGCGGCAGTAGTGAGCCACAGCTCCAAGTCATGTGACCATGAGGACTGAAAAATGATACTGTACTCTATCATGTACTATACACAATAAATTACATGATATATTCAACACTTTATTATATAATAATCTTAGGGTTAGATGATTTTGCCTGACCATAGGCTAATGTAAGTTTTCTGAGCATATTTAAAGTAGGGTAGGCTAAGCTATGATATTTGGTAGGCTAGGTGTATTAAATGCATTTTCAATTTAGAATATTATGAATATATAATGGATTTATCAAAGAGGTAAGTCTAGGAGTATTTATACTTAGAACTGAAATCTTGTCAATTACAGACTTTAAAATGTGGAACTTGCTGAAACAAGATGGCATAGGAACAATGCAAATCACTCCATCCCCATCTGGGGGTACAATGTGCCTGTTATGTAATGGAGTAGTTTGAATAGTGCCTTCCAAAAATTCATATCCACCTGAAACCTCAAAATATGACCTTAATTGGAAATGGGGCCTTTGCAAATGTAATTAAGTTGAGGTCATACTGAATTACAGTGGGTCCTAAATCAAATGACTGGTGTCCTTATAAGAAGAGGAGGGGGCACACAGAGACACAAAGAAGAAGGCCATGTGAAGATGGAGGCAGAGACTGGAGTGATGCAGCTACAAACCAAGGAAGCCAAGGATTGTGAGAGCCGCCAGAAGCTAGGGAAAGGCAAGGAAGTATTCTTCCCTGGAGTCTTCACCAGGAGCATACCCCGCTGATACCTTGATTTCAGACTTTTAACCTCTAGAACTGTGACAGAATAAATTTCTGTTGTTTTTAGCCACCCAGTTTGTGGTACTTCCAGGAAACTGGTACATGTAATAACAAAACAGTTGGTTAAATCATTGCCCATTGCATTTAGGATTCAGACAACATGCCTGCTATGTCTGAAATTTTAGAAAATAGAAAAATAGGCAGATACTTCACCATGTTCATACTTCTTATAGATTGCAGGAAGATGCTGGAGAGAAATAAGCTTTAGTTAAAACCAACTCATCTGAAGAAGACTCAGAATATTCGACTCATAAAACAGGTGACAGATGTAGGTTTTGTGGGTCTGACAATCATACAGTTTGGAGGACCCTATTTAACTAAAAGAATACAAATTTAGATACTAAAGAGAATATTTACTTAGAAAATACATAAAAACAAGTTACAACATTTTAAAAATTGATAAATACCATAAACATCACAATTTTAAAAATTTAATAAATTACTACTGTTAGTATCATCATTAACTGCCTGATACAGCTTTATAATATTTATTCTACATTTTTTGGCTTGATATGCTTTGAGAAGTTCTTTATGTAGCAATGATTTTTTCAATGCTTTCTCTAGGGAGGATAGAAAAATAACCTAGTCTTTAATATTATTTACTGCAATTTATTTAAATTTAGAAAATGTTTTTCCTTTTCATATCTAGTTATTGAATTTTGCTCCTTCTAAATATCTCCAGTTTCTTGCTCTCATGGTTTTTTGTCTGGGAACAAGCCCTCAGAGAATCCCAACCCTTTGATACAGCCGAGTATGCCTGCCCCAACATCACACACACACACACACACACACACACACACACACACACAAACTTCTGCAGCACCTGGTCTAACCTGTCCAGATTTCACTTATTTTCTTCACTCCTTCAAGTTTGGGATTTGTGATGTTAAACAGCTATGAAGCCTAATTCTTAGGTCCCCAAGTCAGAGATGAGAACAAGGAGTAGTTCAAGTTCTTCTCATTGGGGTTAAAGATAAGGTCCAGAGGCCAGGTGCGGTGGCTCATGCCTATAATCCCAGCACTTTGGGAGGCCGAGGCAGGTGGATCACCTGAGGTCAGGAGTTCCAGACCAGCCTGACCAACATGGTGAAACCCCGTCTCTACTAAAAATACAAAAATTACCCGGGTGTGGTTGCACTCACCTGTAGTCCCAGCTACTCAGGAGGCTGAGGCAGGAGAATTGCTTGAACCTGGGAGGCAGTGATTGCAGTGAACCAAAATCATGCCACTGAACTCCAGCCTTGGCTACAGAGCGAGACTCCATCTCAAAAAAAAAAAAAAAAGATAAGGCCCAGATACTTGACTGGGTTCACCAATGGTTGTTCCTGGAGGCCAGGAGAACGTAGAAATAGTGCTGATAGCCCGCTCTCTCAGACAACATGCCTGCTATGTCTGAAATTTTAGAAAATAGAGAAATAGGCAGATACTTCACCATGTTCATACGTCTTACAGATTGCAGGAAGATGCTGGAGAGAAATAAGCTTTAGTTAAAACCGACTTATCTGAAGAAGACTCAGAATATTCGACTCATAAAACAGGTGACAGATGTAGGTTTTGTGGGTCTGACAATCATACAGTTTGGAGCACCTTATTTAATTAAAAGAATACAAATTTAGATACTAAAGAGAATATTTACTTAGAAAATACATAAAACCAAGTTACAACATTTTAAAAGTTGATATATACCATAAACATCACAATTTCAAAAATTCCATCCACAATGGAAAAACACCACCAGGTCTAAGAGTATAACCTTTAAGTTGGGGCAGCCCATTTGCTAATGTGCAGCCATGGCTGCTACTTCCTCCCCAAAGGGGAAGTATAAGTAACAAGCACATGAGCTTAAGCTTCTTTAGGTTCATGATACATCCACCTCTGCATACAGCTTGGGTTAAAATAGGCCCATTTTGCCATTGACCGGCAATCCTAGACAGTTGGACAGTCAGGAACTATGCTGACAACAAAGCTGAATTTTCTGCCTTCACAATATAAGATGCTTCATGATCTTCTCTGCTCTCCTTTCTCCGAGATTGAGTTCATTGTTACCTCCTCTTTCTCCCTCTGATTTATTCTCTCTCTGTACATCCAATAGTTACCTCTGCTTATTTGCAATATTACACTTATTTCATGACATTGACATTTGTTATTAGCTGTATGCTTTTTTTTATTTTCAGGTGAGAAAAACACGAAAACGCAACTCAAGCTTCCACAAAAAGAAATTTGGTGGGTTGTGATCTCTAGAACATATGGAGGTAGATAGAGTAGGTTCATGCAGTTCAGTAAGGTCTGGCTGTGTTTCTCTGTGATTCTCTTGGCATTGCCCTTGTCCAAGGGCTGGTTTCATCCTCAGGCTGATTTTCCCCCTAATCACAAGGTAGCTGCCTGAAGCAGCAGACCTTACTGCTCCCTCTTTTATGTTTAAGTAAAAAAGATTATAAGCATCCCACAGCCACTCAACATTTCTGAGCTTTGTGCAGAAGCCACTCTTAATAAAAGGGTGTCATATAGGTTTATGCCTTGGTTGCATGCTCACTGAAGAACCAATAACTATACTAAATGATTTTGAATTGTCCCTGGACTTGGCTATGGAATTGCCTGGCTGCTACACAGTGGGAAATGGTTAGATGTTGGGTATGCAAACAAAATGTCCATTATAATCATGGTGGATTCTCTTTTTATAAAACTGTAGATCCTAGAAGATAAAACCATGAGGTCCTGGAAGATAGAGACATTGTTGATTCACCTCTGTATCTTCAGGTCCTAACCTATGGCTGGCATATAATGAATATATCGACAGCCACCTGAAACAAAATAATAATTGATTCTCCCCAAAACTATTTTTGTCACCAGCCATTTCTGTAATTCTTAAAGAATATTATAACTGTAATAATCTCACTCTCCATGGTTACAATTTTTATTAATTGCTTCCTGGGTCTTTCATTTGATTTCAATACATTGCTGATTATTTTTAGAGCTGCCATTAACACAGATTTCAATCACTGTCCTGTTTTCCCCTTGAGCAGTGAAGCGGTTGTCATGGAAACAGAATCCAGTGCCTCTTTC
The DNA here is from genome assembly GCF_000001405.40 of Homo sapiens. Taxonomy (NCBI): domain Eukaryota; kingdom Metazoa; phylum Chordata; class Mammalia; order Primates; family Hominidae; genus Homo; species Homo sapiens. The sequence goes on from NC_000004.12 coordinate 158,190,868, forward strand.
TCAAGCCTCACATCAATGCAATTTGATGAAAGGAACTAACACTCTCTCTCGTACCTGTATTTTATAAGTCTGAAGATCTATTTCCTGTAAAAGATGCAAGTCATTACTGGGGTAAAGCATACTTGATGATGCAAGGATTTGACAGCTTGTCCAAAAAGATGTATCAGAGCTCTCATCTGGAAATAATGCCCTAATCAGTGTAAGAGAAAGGTTTTAATGCTTGAATTGACTAAAAATGTGAAGTCACAAGGTAGATTTTATTTAAAGGTGGGAGGAAGAATAATTTTAATTGGCACCACTCATACAGCACAAAGTCACAGACTAGTAGCCTTTCCCAGAGAGTCCCATATGGTGATTATGTGGGAAGAAGGCTCATTTCCCTCAACTCCACCCTATATAAAAAACTGGATTTGAAGTCTAATCCAGGTAGAGTGGGGGTAGGGGGAGGGAGTAACTTCCCAAGCATCTCTGGATGAGATAGCTCGGTCAGCCAAGGGAGAACCTTTGGAGAAAGTTGCTGGCCTAGGCCTCAACTTCTGCACTTTCAGCAGCTGGGGGAAGTGTATATTGGCTACATGGGCAACTCTGTAGTAAACCAACAGCATCAATTACATATAAGTATAAAGGATTCATCACCAAATTTTTGTCACATTCATCAGGACTTTATGGAAACGATTCACAGGAGGGTCTAGTTACAGAAGGGTCTAGGACCAAGTCCTAAATTCTCAGCTAGGACAAATTTAATTAGACCAACCTTTAACCTTGTCAGCATGCTGGAATATTTTATTTGGTGGCTGGATGTGCTATGATGAAATTTTCTATCATGTCATGAGATGTCTGCATAGAGTAGCCTGTATATCTCTGAGGGTAGCCTGGATTAACCCAAGGACATGGTCTAGGAGAAGCCAGGATAAGGCAAATACAGATGACAAAGGGGCCAGGGGAGTTGGGATCGGGGAAGGTTATAATACTAGGGCCAACTATACCCACAGGGACCTAAAGCATACGGACCCAAGCAAAGCAGATGTAATGAATAGAAGAGCTACAGCCAAGTAATCATAAAAGCAGTATTGAATCCCAGAAACAAGCAGGTAACAATGAGCTAATATGCCAGAAACAAAACTGGAAAGGTACGTGTACAGACTGGAAAAGGATTAATAAACTGAGATCAGTATCAGAAAAAGGGACGAGGCAGATGATGAGGCTGGGCTGTAAGACAACAGTTGGGATCCTACCCAGTAGATTTCATTGCAGTAGATTTTTCCCAGTACAATGTTTTAAAGTGGGCAGACAAAAGGCTTCTTTCTGGTTTTGTTTCGTTTTTTTATTATCTGCTTGCTTGGTTTACAATATGGCCCTATCAAGACTGTATTTTAAAAGATAGCAATCAGTATATCTGCTCTTGGTCTATGTATTCTTGGTCTCTGAATAAAAGGAAGATTATCCATGAGCTAGATCACAGCTGATTCTCCCAGTTGTCCTGGCTGCCACAGTTGTTTTTTTTTTTTTTTTTTTTTTTTTTTTTTGCTTGCCTTCGTGTTAGCCACATCCCAGCTTTTCCCAAGGAAATTTCAGTTATAGTTATAGGAGCCATCTCATCACTTTTCTAGGAGAAAATCAAGTCAGTGTTATTACAGGAGTTGGTTCCTCATACCACCAGGTTTAGAAATATTTTTTGTGTCAAAACATGTACAGGCTTCCTAGCACCAAATACCGCTACAACAAAGCCAGACCACATTTGGCCTAATTTTAGGACTCAAGGGTATCCAAGGCTGGCAAGATCTATGCCGGGCACTTGGAGCTGTTTTCTTGCCTTCTTCATACTAGGCCTATTTCCAAGGGGCTGGGTACAGATCTTGTTTTCACTTGTTTTGTTTTGGACAAAATTCTTGAACTGCTCCTACGTGGACTCTTAGTTTTTGATCTGTACCACTTGAACCATACACCCCACCCTGCACCCCTTGCCCTCACTGTGCCCATTCTTGCTTTATCACTCATTCTTGTTTTGACGGTCCTACAATACTCCCCTCACTCACTCCATGGTAGAATTTGAGGAGGACTAGATCTGAGTGAGACACTATTATAAAAGATGATCTCAGAGGAAAGCTCAGAGCTGGGCCAAAGCCTTGTAAGCCTTTGGAAGGACTTTGGCTATTACTTTTAGAAAAATGGGAAACCACTAGAGCAAGCTTGTCCAACCTGTGGCCCAGGCCACATGCAGCCCAGGACAGATTTCAGCACAGAACCACACAAATTCGTAGACTTTCTTAAAACATTATGAGATGTTTCTGCAATTTTTTTTAGCGCATCAGCTATTTTAGTGTTAGTATATTTTATATGTGATCCAAAACAATTCTTCTTCTTCCACTGTGGTCCAGAGAAGCCCAAAGATTGGAAGCCCCTGCATTAGAGGGTTTTCAGCTGAGAAGTGGACATGGTCTAAAAATAATGAAAAGGGATCACTCTGGTTGTTATGGTAGAAATAAACAGCAGAGGGAGCAAGAGTGAAAGTAGGAAATCCAGCACAATAATTCAGATTGACATGATGGAGGCTCGATCCAAGTTGTCACAGTAGAAGTACCAAGATGTGGTCAGATCCACGTATATATTTTGAAAATTGAGGGAAAGGATTTCCTGACAGATTGGATATGGGGTATGAGAGAAATGATGGAGGCAAAGCTGACTAAGGGTTTGGGTCTGAGCAATTATTTAAAAACTTACATAGTGTTTCAGGAAATCATGATTGTGCCAGACATAATTCTAAGCACTTTACCAATCACAACTCATTTAATCCTCAAAACAGCCTATGAGATACATGCTACTAGAGTGCCCAAACTTGATGCACAGATTGCTTACATGATTTGTGCAAGTTCCCAGTGAATGTTGTTGCCACTAATTGAGATGAATCAGTACAGGAGTAGAACAGATTTGGAGCAGAACTAGGAGCTTAGTTTTACACTTTTTAAGGTCTAGAGACTACTAACAACCCACTTGTCCAGGCTCAGTCAACTTTTGCTTTCAGCTGGTATTAGTCCATGGTGTATACTTCTTACCTGCAGTGGTTATATCAGGTACTCTAGGCTGGCACCAGGGGTCCCACAGCTTGGTCATCCACTGAAGCTAGTGATATGCTGGTAAATGCGTAACAACCAGCCCTCCAAGGGAAAAGAAATCTAGCATTTGCTGAGTATTTGCTGATTTGGGTGGTGTAAATATTCACACCATAGCTGATTTTATACAACCACCATGATGTTATTAAAAATGGACGTTGGAAGAGATGCACACTATCTGCCCTCCGCTGTAGTGTGCCAATGACTGCAGCCACTGCAATAATTTTAAAGCCCTAGTTAATATCTAGAAATGGTATGTCAGGGCTCTCAAGTGAGAAGGAGAATTTATGGTTGGAGACATAGCCAAAGTAGCTGGGAAAAATAAGTTAGGCGCTTGAACTAGAGTTTTAATTATGTATGATAAAGGAAATATAGACAGAATAAATTCAAAGAGATGGAATAATGGAGGGGCTGCATAACTATAGGAGAGCGAAATGGTTGGAATAGCCGATTCTGCGTTAATGTCATGAGGGTGGGGAGCAGACATGACTATGATGGAATCTGAAGAGATTTTAAAGTCAGGTCAGCCAATCAGAAGAAGTCTCAGAAGTAGGTAAAGGTGCAAAAATGACTTTTATTGCTCCAATCAGTGAGGAAAGAAGCATTTGAGAACTTCAATATCAGGCAGTAGCAGAAACACTCAAGTGTTTGCTAAATGACTGCTCCTACAAAACACCTGATCCAGGAGGAAATTTTTAAAATGTTTCCAATGCAGTGTGTCCAGGGCAGGTAAAGGAAAAGCTCCATAAGTGATTTATGTATAATATAAGATTTGGGAACCTGGTAAGTACCAAAGGCAGAAGGATTCAGGATATCAAGGAGTCCCAAGAGCAAATAAAGGACACCTAATGATAAGAGTAGAGTTTAGGGTCAGAACAGCACTGACTGAAAAGAATAGAATGAAGATGACACAGCAGTGACATACATAGGTGGGATACATAGGTGAGAACTGATGCTGAGACCTAAACACCAAGAGAAGTTAAGCATGCTTAGCAAAAATTCAGAAAGGGTCCTGTACACATCACCAAGAAATTTTTTAAGTTTATTCTAAAGGCAATGGGTGCCAAGAGAAAATACCATTCAGGGAAATGACATGATGATTTACTTTTAAAGTAGTGTGGAAGATAGAATGCAAATAAGCAAGACCGAAAGTAAGTGAACTAATTAAGGAGGCACATCATGCAAAAGATGATGAGAGTGTGAACAATGGCTGTGACAATAGGAATGGAATAGTGAGTCTGTTTATAGAGCTATTTTAGAGTTAGAACTGACATAGCAGGATATCTGGATATGGATATCTATTGAATATAGAAGGAATAGGCAGAAATTAAGAATAATTCCCACATTTTTGACTATGGAGAGTGAAAGAGAAAACTTGAGGAGGATTCCCACATTTTTAACTAGAATGATTCAGTAAGCAGTGTCATTCAGGGAGATAGGAATCTAAGAAGAAAAAGAGAGATGGGAAAATGTGTGTTCATCAGGACTCTTGATTGCAAATGAGAGGAAACTCATCTGCCTTAGGCAAAAAATGACTTTTATTGCTGCACCGAATCCAAGAAAGAATTAAACCAACAAACAATGGTATAGTGGACTCTGGTAGCTATAGTGCTGTCTTCTCAGAATGTATTACAATATCCTTTATAGTAACTGTACCCTTCACTTCTCATGTTTTCTGTAAAGCTGTGTCTGACTCTGACTTATCCACAGACACAGAAGTAGCATATGAGCTGGGTCTAGCCAGAGTGATTGGTTCAAAGGTGGTCATGAGACCTAAACTACACCAATCAGGAGCCTTCATTAGACTTTTCCCCTACAGCCTTTGTCTTCGGGGTCATCCTTTAGGAAGGATGAAAAGACACTGGAGCAGCTTGCAGCCATCTTCCTCAGTGCCCTAGAAAAAGCATAACTGCATGAAGTCCAGTTGAGACTAATTCAAAAGCTAAAATAAGCAGAAATGGGAGATATATAAAAACAGAAAACTAGCAGTCCTGAAGTGCCAGAAGCATAAATAGAGGCCTGGTTACTGCAGCTATTTGATTATATTAGCTACTTTGATGTCCTTCCCAATTATATAAGAAAATGAATACTTTTTTTCCTTCTTAGTATAGTTAGCAAGGGTATCCATAATATAAAGTACAAGATTCTTCATTAATACCTGTTGAAAAGATAGCCTACTGAGCCCCAGGAAAAACTAGATCTAGCCACCAGAATGTCACCAGAATCTAGTTTTCTACCTTTCATCTGTACCTGTCTCTGGATGTCAGTTTTATTCTTTCTCACTGCAGACTGTTTTCATTCGTATAGTCGGAAATGTGACTACAAACAGCTCCCAAGTTTTACTTCTGATAGGTTTTATCTCCGAAGGGAACTGCCTTTTATTTTCTGTGCTTCCAATTTCAAATATTCTAAGGAAGGATTGTAACTGACCCATCTTGTGTTACATAATGGATCAAACAGTTGTAACTAGAGTCTTAAAATACTATGATTGGCTTAGCTTGGGCCAGGTTGACATTCCTGAACCAATCAAATGGGAGCCAGGGTGGTGGGCTCATGCAAGAAAATGGCAATGCTCATGGAAGCTGTAAAATTAGACCAGGGAGAGAAACAATTCTAAGAAGAATAGAGGTTCTATTTCCAGAAGAAGGACAAATGTAGCTATAAGTGCCTCTTGTAGGAAAGATGGTATTTTAAACATGTTGAATTGTTGAATTTGAGACCCCATGGAGGATCAAAAGGAGGTCAAGGAAATGCGGCCAGTTGAAATTATTACTCAAGCCTGCAAGAGAAAATTTATGCATTTATCTGATTTTGATGAAAAAGATTATTTCAGATTATAAATTTCAAATTCCATATATGGTTTTACCCCAAATTTACCTAGGTCTCTAGGTTTCAAAACAACTTTGCACATGTAAAATGATTATGCACTGTAATACAGTAATTGTCAATTAAGAGAAAGGGTTGTGAATCACAGAGGCAAGACCTTAGGAGAAAAAAAATCCTGATCTATGTTTCTCCCCTATGAGGAAAGAGACAAAGCTATGGACTAGCAGAGCCTGAAGACCCCAAGATTTTTGGTCTAAGAAACTGTAGTATTGCAACTGATAAAGGGAAGATATGTCTAGGGCAGGTTTGGGGTAAGTTTGAGTTGTCTCTCAGACGTCCAAGTGGAGATACTGAGTAAGGTATTAGATATATGGGACTGGATTTCAGAAGAGTGATCTGGGAACTCCAAAATTAAGAGGTTAGGAATAAAAGGAAGAGCCATCCAAGGAAACTGATGAAGAAGCTTTGAGAGTAAAGGAGAATAACCAAGGTAATGTGGTGTTCTAGCAGCCATGTGAATGCAAAACCTGAAAGAGAAGGGAAAAATCAATTGTGACAGATGCTGCTGAAGAGTGACACAAATAACGACAGAGAATTAACCATTAGACTTAGCAAACTGGCTGCCACTGGTGATTTTGACAGTTTCTATGCAGTAAGAAGAGCAAAAGGCAAGAGTTACACTTTAGCCACAAATGCCAGCCGACAAGGCAGAAATTAGATGGGTCGTTGTCCTGGAAACTAGAGGATTTATGAGACATAGCATCTAACATCTTAGGACTCTGATTCATCTATGTTCATAATGCCCTGAAAGCCCCACCCCTTCCCTCAGACACAAGGACACTACCTGAGGGAGATAACTCGGGGGGTTGGAGGGCTGTGTAATAAACTAAGCGTTGTTTGTGTTTTACTTTTTGCCAAGGCAGACTATTGATAAAGCTTCTGCCTAAATTAACAGATCAAACTAAGCTTTAAATCAAAGTTAATGTTTTTTCTTCTTACCAGCAGGTGTAGAGAAAGAACAAATCAACTATGACAAAACTAATAAAACTATATTTTATCCTCATGTTGGATGTGTTACCTGTGTTAAATCTTTAACCCTCATGTGGGTCAAATTTTTCTTATGTTTTCACTAGTAAACTTCCCATATCAATTCATAGCTTATGCTTGATAATTTTTTCAAGCATATCTGATTTTTTCTTACAATCATTAATATTTGACAACTGTTAAGCTGTATCTTACTGGTGATTTTGGTTCATGAAATTGAATAATATCCAGGTAAAATCCTAAAGGTAAAAATCAGGATAAGTTTGAAAATGGGTCATCCACCTGAAAAGTAGAAGAATAATGGGAAGAGAGTCAAAATGAGAGGACTCAGGAGTTAGAAACAAAAAGAGAGAGAGAGAGAGAGAAGGGGTAGTGGATGAAGCAGGCTTAGATAATTTTTGAAAGTGCATGTAAAAAGACACATTACAGTTTTCACCTTCTATAGATACTTATTTGCATGTGTATTTCAGATCTCATTAAAGTTTCAGAATAAGGTGCATATCTCACAATATTTTGGAAAGCATATTAAGAACTAATAACACAAGCACTGAAATCAGAGAAAATTTGGTTTAAGAACTAGCACTACCACTTATTAGCCACATGGATCTGAGCAAGTTACTCTTTGAGACTCAGAATCCTCATTCATAAAATGGAGAAAATAATAGTATGTAACTCACCAAGCTGTTCTAAGAATTGAACAAGATGATGCAGATAAGGCTCTCTTTGCAGTGCCTTCCCAAATAAAGGCTCAATAATTATTAGTAGTTATGGTTAGTGTTATTATAGATCATTGAGAAGTCTTTCTTTAGAAGCCTTTTCCATCAGTACCTTTTTTTTTCTTACTTATTTCTCCAGCCCTCTTAGGGCCCTTGAAGAATCTCATCAATGATACTCTCACCAGCACCTTCAATTACCTTTCTCCTCTGTATTTTCACCAAAGGTATTATGCCAACTCTCACCCTGTGAATCCACTGACTGGGGAACATTGTTTAAGAAAATCACATGGCTGTGCCAACAAGCAAGGTAGGAACGGCCATGTGGTGACCTGTGGGCTGAAGTTAAGTGTTGTGGTTTGATCATTGTGTAAGGTAGAATCAGAGCTGGATCTCAAAGAATGTTGACTTCATTTCTTCTTCCTTTTTTTTTAATTAGTTGATTTGTTTGGTATATTTATTTACTTATATATTTTTTGCTTTGGGTTTTGGTTTTGTTTGCTTTAAGTTTTGGGAATTCCTTACAGGAGACACGGCACAGAAGACAGAGGCAGAAGCAGCTTTATTGAAAAACAGAGCATGAGTAGAACGACTTCAAATCCCATATGGCACCACAGTGAGAAGTAACTTCCTCTGAGCTTCTTAGAGAATCCAACAATGTCCTGCTTCCTTGGGGAGCTGCAGCCATGGGCACATGGGAATAGGGCTTCCACCAAGAGTCCCGTCAGTCACAGCAACAGGAGGTCTTCCTCAGACAACTTTGATGATAGTGGTTGTTAGCCAGAGCAAGCTAGAACCAGAAAGAAAAACTATGAAGATGCCACAGTGGGAGTCTGAGCACCTTGAGGCCTCCTGTTGGAAACTGGCAAACCTAACTGTGGGACACTTGGATGCTGAGTTCTGGTAAACATGCTGTCGGAGGCACGGTAATTTAGTCATTAACATTTAAAAACGATCTAATTCTATATACATACTCTGTTGAAGACTTCTTCCAACCACCTTGTATTATAAATTTAAAATATGAAATACAAACTCTTTATGTGTCTTGACTCAGATTACCTAGGAAGGGACAGTGACCTATTCATCAATGTTTAGAATTAGAGTAAGTTATAGAATATAGTCTGAGAAAATTACTTGGACCAAGAAAGCAATGTCCCTGACATTCATCAATCTAGAACCAGAGCTGCAGATTAAGCTAGGTGCAAATTTATCAGAAAACAATATTTTTCCCAAATACATATTGCAGCCATAAAATGCCCTAAAAACCCAGTTCTTAGAGGGACTATTGCTTACTTACTGAGAAATTGTATTCTCTGAAATCATAGACTATGAGATGCATTGCTGTTTAAAATTATTGCAATAAGAATGAAACATCTCACTCTTATCTGGAGGAGTTAAGTCATTGTGATCAGTGAAGCCTTGATTTAAGCTCCTGTGCAAAGCTTCAGAGAATGGGTCTCAGGACACAACATTTGACATCTATTTTGACTTCATTTCCAAGAAAATAGGACTGCTATGGTTTGAATGTTTGTCTCCCTCAAACCAAGGTGTCGGAGGTGGGGCCTAATGGGAGACGTTTGGGTTATCAGGGAGGGTCCCTCATGAATAGATTAATGCTCTCCCTGGGGGTAGGGAACAGTTAGTGAGTTCTTGCTTTATTCATTCTCAAGAGAGCTGGTTGTTAAATAGAGCCTGGCGCCTCCCTCCTCCCTCCTTGCTTTCTCTCTCACCGTATGATCTTAGCACATTACACCTCCCCTCACCTTCTGCCATGAGTGGAAGCAGCCTGAGCCTCTCACCAGGAGCAGATGCTGGTGCCATGCTTCTTGTACAGCCCACAGAGCAGTGAGCCAAATAAACCTCTTTTCCTTAGAGATTGCGCAGCCTCAGATGTTCCTCTAGAGCAACACAAAATGGACTAAGACAAGAACCATAGGTCCATTTCACAGTACAGAGCTGAGGTTGACCCCTTTTATACACAACCATACTTTCTTAGAGCCCATAGAATATCATTTCATTTACATCACACCTAAATTCCACTCTTTAGCAAAATCTTATGTTAACCCTATATTTTCCTTTGTTTGATGAGATACCCCACAATTGCTCTGTTGTGCAGTCCCCACACTGCAATGAGTCAGTAAACTCAATTGGTTTGTTTACAGGTTGTCCCTGGTGGTTTTAGGCTGATTGGGCTAAGACAAACCACATCTTATTTTTTAAATGTCTCCTTTAAGCAAATGTTATTATCTGTATTTTACTCTATTCCATAAGCAGAAGTGACAAAGTAGTCTAATTTTACCAAAAGATGCTTATAGCATAAAACTTTCTATGCTGTAAACATAGAAAGTACTTGAAATCAAAAAGAAAAAATTACTGTCCTTAAAATGAAAAAAAATATACACACAGAGTTGGGGTTTTTTCACTTTACTAAAGCTCAGGCTGTGCTTATTACAATAGAACAGTGATCAAAACTACAGCTTTTTTTCCTCCTTTATAATATGACCAAACAAGGGTTAGTGGCAATGAGCACTGCATCACTTAAAAGATACTGAAAAACTTGAAATACTGATGAACCTCTAACAAACACCTTCTTCCCAATCCTCACTCTTGACCTATGACCTTGTTTCCTTTTCACTGAGAAACAGAGAAAAAATTAGATGAGAATGTGTACAAGCTCTCACCACAAGATCTTCCTACCTCCTCTAACTGCACCTATATACTATTACTATCAAAGATCCCTCTGTGTCCCTAACAAAGGCTATTTCCTCTCCTTTTGCACTAAATTCCATATACTCATGCCTATGGGGAGACATTGTTCCAGTAATTATCTCCTTTCCTCTGCTTGGGTCAGCCTCTAGGATGGACCCCCATGATCCCCACCTCCTGGTATCCGCGCCATGATGCAATCTGCTTACAGCCTAAATCAGGATGAACCATATGACTCATAGAACACTGCAGAAGGCATGATGTGTGACTTCAGATGTGAAGTCATAGAGGACAAGGACACAGCCACCTTCTTGGATTTCTCACTCTGTGGAAGGGCAGTGACATTCCATGAGACAAGCAGTCCTGTGGTGAGGCCCATGTCAAGAAGGCCTGAGATCTCCCACCATCAGCTACAGCCAATTTGTCAGTCACGTGAGTAAACCACCTGGGACGTGAATCCTCTCGACTTAACCACCTCTTCAGGTGGCCAGAGCCCTAGCCCAGGTCTGACTGCAACCTGATGAGAAACCCTGAGTAGGAAGACCTGCTTGAGCTGCTCCCAAATTATTGATCCACAGACACTATGAGAGATAATACGTACTTAGTGTTCTTTTAACCCACTACATTTTGGTTGGCTGTATTTATTACCCTGTAACAGATGACTAATACATCTCCTGTGATCAAAACACTTCAGAGGTTCCCCATTTCTCTCAGAGAAATATCCAAAGTCCATAAGGCCTGTGAGGCCCCTCACATTCTTCCCACCCCCATTACCTCTCTAACTCCATTTTCTACCACTCTCCTTCTTTCCACCTCAACCACAGCTACAGTGACTTCTTTGCCCTTTCTCAAATCTGCCTCAGGGCCTCTGTACTGGACACTCTCTCCCCACTCCCACTCCCTCCTCCAGGCCTTCACTGAAATGTCTCCCTCTCAGTGAGGACTTCCTTTCCTAAACTGCAGTACCCCCAACCTACACACACACACACACACACACACACACACACACACAGAGTCTCTAGTCTTCCTAGCTCCTTAATTTTTTTTTCCTTAGCACATATCACTATTTCATATACCATATTTGTCATCTATTTTCTGGTTTCCCTTTCTCAGATGTAAGCTAAGTTGGTGCAGGGGTTTTTGTCTGTTCCCAATGTCTAGAAGAGTGTCTGATTTACAGTAGACACTCCATGAAATTTGTCAAATGAATACACCAGTGTTAAGAGTATAAGAGTGTAATAGTACCTTTAAAAATGCCTCAAAGATAAATCTTTTGATTTATCTTTATTTTTAGATCTCTACCCCCACTTTAGCCACTTCTGAAATTTACTACTAGAAAAACCTTTTCTTTCGTGAAGAACTGTCTCACAAAAATAGCAGTTAAATAGGAAGCTATCCTAACCCACTGTTTGCCTTTTCCCTTGTGAAACTCAGACCAAAATTGAAAGTCATCTATTGTAACTATGTGTTCTTGGCATCTAAACTCTGTTTTGTTTCATCTTGACTTTCTTAATTTCCTAGGTTTTTTCCTTTGTTCCTATTATTTTATTGTTTTTATTCTATATTGCTTCAAAGACTTTATGAAATTAAGTAAATTATAAATACAAATATAAGTAAGTATACTAGTCTTTTCTTAAGCTCACAACAAATTATTACAGGTATCTTTGATTCAGTTTATTATAATTACAGAATTGTAAACTTTTCAAGGAATAAATCTTTAAAATCAACAAAGGTAATATTTTTATTATTTATTGGGATATTCTTTTTTTTCTTTTTTTTTTCTTTTTTTTTGAGACAGAGTATCGCTTTGTCACCCAGGTTGGAGTGCAGTGGCTCAATCTCAGCTCACCTCCCAGTTTCAAGCGATTCTCCTGCCTCAGCCTCCCAAGCAGCTGGGATTACAGGCGCCGCCACCACGCTTGGCTAATTTTTTGTATTTTTAGTAGACACGCGGTTTCACCGTGTTGGTCAGGCTGGTCTTGAACTCCTGACCTCAAGTGATCTACCCACCTCGGCTTCCCAAACTGCTGGGATTACAGGCATAAGCCACTGTGCCCAACCTGGGGTATTCTTATTGTAAAACATTTTACACGAAAAATATACTTTGAATCAGGAGAGAAACATTTCAACACAGCATCATTATTTCTCAGTAAAATGGCACATTTTTCCTAATTTCAGATTATTCTTGGAAAATTTTGTTTGCTTCTATGATATAATAAAATTCTGCTTGAAAATTACGTGTTAAATTGATTCCTTCTCCATTTCCAAAAAACAGAGGAAGGGTTATTTTAAACAATAAAGTGGTTGATTATGTTATCCAATGAATCAGCAGGTTTTTTACTGCCTTCACCAGTCATCATTTCTCATTATACACAGAGATCCTCAAAATGAGCAGCAGATACACTCAGTCTGTAGGATCATTTAGCAACTCGGGGAAGGAGGGTAAGTAGCCTAGATTTTTTTAAAGTTCCCACACCCAAACATCTCAAAAGATCATAAAAAGATAAACAAGTGTTCAGAGATTAAATATGGAAAATATTGGTATTGGTTTTGATTCTATAGACAAAAATAAAATACCACTTGGCAGTAGATTTCTCACTTTTTAAGTATTCTTGTATTTGGTGAATGGGTAAAAAGATAGTCAAATGAGTTAAATATACATTTAAATAAATGGGCAAATATGTATTATCAATTATCAGTTATCAACCCCATCAATTATTTCATCATATCTAAATACATATAATATATATTCCTCGGCCTGTAAAGTAAACCAACCCCGTCAATAATCTCATTGTATTTAAATATCTATTTAATATATAAATGTTCTACATTAATATATTTAATATTTAATATGTTGGTCAATATTAAATATGTTTAATAAAGACATATTTAATAAATAATAAATATATTTATATTTCATGTTTGTATACAATATTAAATATATAAATATATATGCAAATATGATAAGATCATTTAGGGGGTTGGTTTCCTTCACCAGGCTGAGAAAATAGTTTAACTGCCATAAAATAATCACAAATTTAAAATAATGACATTTTCGCACACTATTTTCAGAGCAGTTTTAGATTTATGAAAAAAATCGAGGAGATAGGAATAGAGTTCTCATATAACCCCTCTCTACTCTCTCACAGTTCTATTAGTAACATCTGCGTTTGAGTTGTACATTTCTTACAGTTGATGAACCAATATTGGTACATTATTATGAACTAAAGTCCATTGTTTACATTAGAGTGCACTCTGTATGTTGTATAGCTCTATGGGTTCTGACACATGCAAAAGGCCCCAGATGTAGTGTATCTAGGTTAATGTTCTATACGAGCTTGAGAAGAATGCGTATTTTGCTGCAGTTGAATGAGATATAACTATCAATTAAACCCAGGTGATGATGGTACTGTTCACTTCTATTATATTCTTACTGATTTTCTGCCTGTTCGATTTGCCAATTACTAATAGAGGAATACTGAAAACCCCAACTGCAATAATCTATTTGTGTCTATTTCTCCTTGCAGTTTTACCAGTTTTTGCCTTACCTATTTTGACACTCTGTTGTGAGGTGCATACACAGGATTGTTATGGCTTATTGGACAGCTGGCCCCTTTATCATTATGTAATGGCCTTCTTTATTCCTAATAATTTCCTTGTCTGAAGTTTGCTTTGTCTGAAGTTAAAATAGTTATTCTAGCTTTCCTTTGATTAGTGTTAGAAAAATATATTTTGTTGGGCGTGGTGGCTCATGCTGTAATCTCAGCACTTTGGGAGGCTGAAGGAGGAAGGTCTCTTGAGTTCAGGAGTTCAAGACCAGCCTGGGCAACATAGTGAAACCTCATCTCTACAAAAAATTAAAAATTAGCTTGTTGTGGTGGCACATGCCTGCAGTCCCAGCTACTCAACAGACTGAGGTGGGAGGATCACTTGAGCTCAGGAGTTCACGACTGCAGTGTGCCATGACTGTGCCACTGTACTCCAGCCTGGGTGATAGAGTGAGACCCTGTTTCAAAGGTTAAAAAAAAAAAAAGGAAAGAAAAGAAAAATATAACTTTCTCCATTCCTTTTGTGTCTTTATAATTAACATGGATTTCTGGTAAACAACGTAGAGTTGATGCCTGTATTTTATTCAATCAGTCGTTGTCTTTTAATTGGTAGACCATTTATATTTAGTGATACTTGATAGAGTTGGATTAATATTTCCCATATATTAATTGTTTTCTGTTTGTTGCCCTTGTAATTATTTCCCTTTTTTGTCCTCCCCTCTTCATATGGTTTGGCTCTGTGCCCCTACCCAAATCTCACGTGGAATTGTAATCCCCATAATCCCCACCTGTTGAGAGAGGGACTTGGTGGGAGGTGATTGGGTCATGTGGGTGGTTTTCCCCATGCTGTTCTCGTGATAGTGAGTGAGTTCTCACAAGATCCCATGGTTTTATAAGGGGCTCTTCCCGCTTTGCTTCCTCTCACCTGCTGCCATGTACAACATGCCTTTGCTTCTCCTTCGCCTTCTGCCATGATTCTAAGCTTCCTGAGGCCTCCCCAGCCATGCAGAACTGTGAGTCAAACCTCTTTCCTTTATAAATTACCCAGCCTCAGGTAGTATCTTTATAGTAGTCTGCAAATAGACTAATATACCTCTTTTGCTCCCTTTTCTAGTTTTAATTGAGCATTTTATATGATTCTATTTTCTCTCCTCTCTTAGCATATCAATTATACTTAAAAATATGTTTTTAGAAATTGTCCTAGAGTTTGCAGTACACATTTACAACTAAGTCCACTTTTCAATAACACTATACCATTTCACAGGTAGTGCAGGTACTGTATAAAAGATTATTCCCAGTGCCTCTCTCCTGTTCCTTAAAGCATTGCTGTCATTTATTTCATTTATTCATAAACTAATATCACCCAATATATTACTGATATTATTATTTTGAAGTTATCTATGCGATCAATTAAGAATAAGAAACAAATTATAGGTTGGTGGATTTTTCTTTCAACACTCTAAATATTTCACTCTACTCTCTTTTTCCTTGCATGGTGTCTGAGAAGTCTGATTAATTCTCATCCTTGTTCCTTATAAGTAAGGTGATAGTTTTTCCTCTGACTCCTTTCAATATTTTCTCTTTATTTTCCACAATTTGTATACAATATGCCTACATGTAGTTTTTTTAAAATTTATCTTGCTTGGTGTTATCTGATCTTCCTGGATCTGTGGTTTGATGTCTGTTATTAATTTTAGAAAGTTGTCCACCATTATTAGATACCTAGATAACTATTATTTATGTATCTTCTGCTGCTTTCTTTCTTTTCCTTCTGGTATTGCTATTACCTGTATTTTATGCCTTTTGTAATTTTCATACAGTTCTTGGAAATTGTGTTTCTTTTTCCTATTCTGTTTTCTGTTTCCATTTAAGTTTGGGAAGTTTCAACTGACATACCTTCAAGCTCACTGATTCTTTTGCAGCTATCAAAAGTGATTCTCTTTTCTATTGTAGTATTTTTTGTTCTCTAACATTTCCTTTTGATTCTTTGAGTTTTCATCTTTCTGTTTATTCGTTCTTGCACTTTTCCCAGTTGATCTCTTAGCATATTAGTCATAGCATATTTTAAATTTCCAGTCTCATAATTCCCAAATCCCTGCCATATCTGAATCTGGTTCTGAGGCTTGCTTTGACATTTCAGAGCTGTGTTTTTTCTTGCCTTTTAGCATGCCTTATAATTGTTCATTGAAAGTGAGGCATGATGTATCAGATAATAGAAAACAAGATAAGTAGACCTTTAGTTTTTATGTGTATTGGGCCAGAAGTTAGACTGTGCTTAATGGTTGTTGTAGCTGTAAGTATCAGAGGCTTCTATTTTCTCTAATATCTTTCTTTTTGTCTCCCCTATTTGTTGTCTTTGGGTTTTCCTAGAGACTCATTTTTAAGCAGAGTCTGTGTCTTGCAACTCTCTCTAGTTGTGATCCACAGTTATTATACCAAAACACTATTTATGTGGTCGTAAGATATTGGAGAGTTGATACATTCTATAATGTTATGATAAAATCTCTATTTTTAAATTCTTATTTCTTTTTAAACAATTTTAGATTCAGGAGGCACATGTGCAGGTTTCCTACATGGATAGATTCTGTAATGGTGAGGTTTGGGCTTCTAGTAAACCCATCACCCAAATAGTAAACATTACAGCCAATAGATAATTTTCAATCTGCTCTCCTCTCCCACGTTTCCCTGTTTTGGAGTCCCTAGCATCTATTATTTTACCTTTATGTCCATGTGTACCCATTGTTTAGCTCCCACTTATAAGTGAGAACATGCAGTACTTGATTTTCTGTCTGAGTTATTTCACTTAGGATAATGGCCTCTAGCTCCATTCATGTTGCTGCAAAGGACATGATTTCACTCCTTTTTATGGCTGCGTAATATTCCATAGTTTATATATACCACATCTTCTTTATCCAATCAACTACTGATGGACACTTAGGATGATTCCTAATTGTGAATAGTACCCCAATAAATATATGAGTGCCAGTGTCATTGATTATAACAATTTCTTTTCCTTCAAGTAGATACCCAATAGTGGGATTGCTGGGCCAAATGGTACTTCTATTTTCAGTTATTTGAGAAATCCCCATACTGTTTTCCGTAGGGGTTTTACTAGTTTACATTGTCATTAACAGTATATACGCATTCCCTTTTCTCTGTATCTTTGCCAACATCTAAAACTCTGTTTTCTAGTTGTCCAGAATCCCTGAGCTGTGAACTTCATAAGGGTTTCTTCTTTTGTTTTTCTCCTTATGTGAGAAAGAAAGTGTAGAAGGTGTTCAAACTGTCTAGTTGCCTTTTCTCTAATTCAGATAAAGCTCTGGGGTAAAGTTTACCTTGAGGACAGGCTTTTGTTTCTGAGTATATTTCAAATAGTTATTGTTTTCCTCCCACATGCCAGAAAAAAGAGGAAACTTTTGTCCTGTCTTCTGAAAGTAAAACTCATTAATGTGTGGATGCTCCCATATGAATGACTCCCACTGTCTCTGAGTTTTCAACTCTCAAGTTAGTCCACACTCAGCCTTCAGCAATAGGCCAAATACTGTATAAATGCCCCCCTATCCTTTACTGGCTCCAGTGGCTTTTGCTGTCCTGATAAGCTGTAATTCTCCGTATTCACCTATTTCTTCAGTTTGCAAAGAGGTGGCATGTCCTATGACATCAATTCTCTGCAGATCTAAAAAGAGTAGTTGATTTTTGATTTGCTCATTTTTTTCTTGTTGTGATGATGGAAGTGGAGACTTTCACACCTTTCAAATGTCAGAGCAGAAACCAGAAGTCCTAGTAATAATGTTATATATATATATATATATATATATATATATATATATATATATATATATATATCTCTTTTGACCACATAAAAGGGGGAGGTGCACAGGTCTTATTATTATCATTTTACATATAAGAAAACTAAGGTTTAAAGAGATTAAATGAGTTTCCATGAGAAATATTGCTAACAGACGAAGCTAAAGTCAGAACCTGGATCTTCTAGTGTCTGCCAGGACTCTCCCAATACAGACCATTCTGTTTAGGCATTCATGTATACGAAACAATTTGAAAGAAAAATTTTAGTTTAAGAATAGAGTCATGCATGTTTGGATTTGCTCTGTGGCATAATGTAAAAGGCAATGGCCTAGCATATCCCTAATGAATCTTCTCAGGCCTAATTCAGCCCCCAACTCACTTTTAGACTTTAGAAATTCTCAGCAAATGCTGACACAAGCTTCAGTTTCTCCATGTGAGTGAAGCAAGAATAAACCACATGATCTTGTGACCATGAAGTGAAACAATTCTAGGTTGGATTTAGGCCCTATATTTTTGGAAGCAAGTTTGTGTATGTGTGTGTGTCTTAGGTGTGCATGTGTGGAAAGGGGAACTGATTTCTTCAAAATCTTTCTGAACTGCTAAATTAATCCTCTTCCTTAAGTGAAAAAGCTTTGCTGCTTTAATTCTTTAAATGAAATGTTATTTTGCCTTCCCATCTGCTCATCTGACATGATAGTCTATGGATGTGATTAATGTTTAAGGCAGAACTTCCTTCTAGGAAATGTCATATTTTAACAGTCCTTGTGTTTTCTCCTTCCTGTGAATGCTACACCCATTACCAACCACTGGATGGTCTCGGGTTAAATAGCACTTCCTCAGAGAAGGCTTCTTTGAACTCAGACTAGCACAGAACCTACACTTCCCCTTTCCAACTTAAAGTTTGCATCCTTTGGTGTATGCGAACCCACATGAAGAGATGTTTTTTTTGTTTTGTTTTTTTTTTGAGAGGACTCCCTCACTTTGGGAGGGCGAGGCGGGCGGATCACCTGAGGTCAGGAGATCGAGACCATCCTGGCTAACACGGTGAAACCCCGTCTCTACTAAAAATACAAAAAAATTAGCCAGGTGTGGTGGTGGGTGCCTGTAGTCCCAGCTACTCAGGAGGCTGAGGCAGGAGAATCGCTTGAACCCAGGAGGCGGAGGTTGCAGGGAGCCGAGATTGCACCACTGCACTCCAGCTTGGACGAGAGCGAGACTCCGTCTTAAAAAAAAAAAATACAGATAAATGGCCTGTACAGATAAATGGCTTAGGTGCATCTACAAAGAATTAGTGATTACAAGTGAAATCTTGTAATGTCACAAGAAATGTTAATGACGTCAGTGGTGCAGATGAATTTCTTAATACCAAGTGGAAAAATTCACTTGAGATAATCTTTTACAATGGTGTGAAATTCCTCAGACTTTTGTTTTATCCATAAACTGCACAAATAATACCTCCCTCTGTGACACTTAGAGAGGGTGACATGCTGAGAGTTTCCTGAATAATCACCTCTTGAAATACACAAAACTCTTCTAGTTTCCTGGTTGACCGACCCAGGGCTTGACGACTCCTTTTGAGCCACCTGACAATTCAGTCCAGCACAGCAACTGAAGGAAGGCGTTCCCCAACCTGCTGTCCTATGAAGGCCTCTAGGTCACCGGTGCTAAAGCCCTCCTTTCTCCACCCTCCTTAAGTGGAGGTAAACGTCCCAGCAGGAAGTCAAGGCTGGATTGGCGCTCTTCGCGAGCACCCTGGGAACGGGAGTCTGGGTCACGGGTGCTAGAGCCCTCCCCTCTCCTCCCGGCCGGTGTATGGGAAATTGTCCCCGCAGAAAGTAAAGGCTGGCCAGGCCGCCCCCAGCACGTAGAGGGAATGAGTCAGGCTCCGGCTCCACACTGGCACGTAGTGGGCGGATCGCGCCGGCGCTGAGTAGGAAGGAGCTTCAGCCGCCAGCCCGGAACGCAGTGAGTACAGCCACTCAAAGGAAAGCCAAGTCGCTTTGCAGGGGAGCGTCTCATGATTTTTCAGAAACGTGCTCATGGTTAAAAAGAAAAATCAAGGCTCGGAATAAATACATTCAAGCACTGTTAATTTTAGCCCAAAGACAGGCGGTACTTGCCTGGAGATTTGGGAAAATCAACATGAAACTAAAAATGAAATTTTAGTTGGAGTGGAGCAAGCAGTATTGATCAGAACATACCAAATACGAATTTTTTCAAAGTCTGCGTAGAAGTTTAAATTACTAGGAAAAATGTAAAGGAGAAGTATTTACTAATAAATGAAACAAAAGTAATAAAATAAAAATGAATTAATATAGTTTGACAAAATATCAGCGAACGCTGAAAAGAAAACATTAAAATAATGTTTGAGACTTTTTAGGTTTTGTGCAGGAAGAATTGGGAAAAATGTGCTGGATGGAGTGATACTGCTTTTCTTTTCCACAAAAATTTCATTATTTTAGAGAGCGGTAGAGCCTTTTTAAAGACAGTAAGTTATTGCCAATTCACAATGAAATAAGATCACATGCTCTGAAATGTACAAGAGCTGCATGCAATAAACTTCATTTATCTATAGGTAATAACTGATTGATGTTTATTCAGTAGTCGAAATGCACCTCATGCACTCTAATTAGCACGTCAAATTAGTCTCTCCGTTTCAGAGGTGTAGGGCCTTTGTGGAGCCTTCTCAATAAAATAATTTGCCACTCTTGAAGGTTAGACATTCTCTTCTATCAATGTACACATAAAGGTTTTGTTTTGCTTTGCTTGTTGTGAATTAAAATGGGGAGAAAATGATGTGTTAGCTATCACCCAGTCATGTGTCTTTTTAGTCATAGGTTAGCTTTTCAAGACACTTCCTGCATCTCTGACCTGTTGCACCTCTGTTATCTTGGCACCTCTGTTATCTTAGCAGCAAGCACCTGCCTCAGCTGACCCTTGAGCCATAACCCATGTAAGTCACTGCAGGGCTGAACCTCTCTTTGAGCCTAACAGTAGAATAATAATTATTTTTATTGAATAGTGTTAATGTGTCAATGTTGAAATGTGCCTCAGTGTGTCTTCCTCAACCACATCCCTATAGAGGATGTTTTCTTAATAGCAATGTGTTTTTGTTTTAAGAAAGTCCACACAATTTCAAATACACATTTTCTTTACTAAAGTTTATTGACCAGTTTTGAAGTGATCCTTGTTTTCAGTTAAACTATCTTTAATAATGGTAAATAACATATTTTGTAGGTTGTTGTATATTTAATATTCTCTGCAAGAACACATAAGGAACAATACATGGACCTTTAAATATTTGTCATTGTGAAATAAAATAACAAGGAAAGGTGATTTCAGGTGTACTTTATTCAATACATATATACAAGAAGTTATTACTATAACATTAAATTTGCAGGAAAAAAGAAACCACTGGATTATTCTGCTTCTATTCCAGAGGGCTTATTCCAAAGGGCCAGTGTGCAAAATATGAATCCAAGATGGCATTGTGGAAAGACGCTGTACCTCCTGTGATAAAATTACTTTGGTGGTGCTTTTTTCTCATGTATCTCGGGAAACTAAAAATCTGAATTGTATTCAGTGGCCTTTTCCAAATGGTAACTTTATGAAAAAATGTCTAATTCTTGGTTATTTGTGGTTTTAGTCCTTTCTTCATAGAGAAGCTAAAGCTGTTAAATAAGCTTAGCAGCGTTATCCGCTAAAACTTTCTGCAGTGATGGAACCTACACAGGAGAATTTTTTTTGTAATGTACTAAAAATTTGTCTTCAGGGCTTGTTCTTTTTAAATTGTAGGCTAGTGATCAAAAATATTTGGTGATAGAATAAATTAACATGAAGTACAAACATTATATATAGTTGTGTAATATCCTATCTGCAAAAAGGAGTCTTAGCGTGCTTTTGAAAAATTCAATAAATATAATATGTTAATCACAATTTGGTCACAGATTCACGTCTCAATTGTTTCATTTTTTCTTTTATTTCAGAAGCTCCTGAAAAGTACATCAAGTCTAAAGTGAACCAGCTAACTCATTAAGACTGGAATCATGAGCAACAATGGAGCAGACCTAACCTTTGGTTACATCTCCTGTTTTGTAGCTATCCTTTTGTTTGGCTCAAATTTTGTGCCACTTAAAAAATTTGATACTGGTGATGGTAATTATTTTTCCTTGATTGTTAACGTTATATTATTTTTAAAAATGAAGTTCCTTTTTTGGTCTTTTAAAAGTATAGCTACAAAAATAAATCATGTTGATCTTGATACCTAGTGAATAGAGCTTAAAATTAGTCATTTGACAGTGCTCATACCAGTTTGTCTGAAAGTCAGAATAGGAGAACCATTAAGGTTGTTTCATGGTAAAGTTAGGGAGGGTACAGTCAGGAAATCTCTTGGGCCATTATATGAATGGAAGAAATTTATAGTCAGTTCTACTATAACACCTGTTTTGAAAACATGAATCTTCAACATGATTGATATATTAGAGAACAATGTAAGCATAACAGATTTTTGGCTTGCTTATGTGCAATTTTGTCCCTGAGAAACCTCTAGATAGGCACAGAAGACTGCACCTAGATGAATAAAGATGTGTGATAATACACATAATGCACGCAGACACACGTACAATCTTCAAATATCGACCAGCTCCCTTAGTTCATCACATGTGGTTATGATGTATTCCACCCAACCACATCTCCTGTCCCAACTCCTCACCCAATACCTTCACAGTAACTCGTAAGCTGCAACCCTTTGGATGCTCACTTCCAGGAGCAAACTTCTGGTGTTTTTCAATTAAAATGCCCTATTTATTACAGCATCATGTAATTAACCAGTTAACCAGTTAAAACTGTACTACTATTTTAATTAGGTTGAGTGTTGTTCTCCTAGCCCCATTTTCCCATTATGCTCTGTAGTTTTTACTGCATGATTTTGCATAGTGCAGTGATTTCAAGGAATGCACATGTTACATTATAGCAGAACTGACTAATGTGAATTTTGGGGAAGGAGAAGCAAGAGTTATTTGTATTTGCCTGACTTCCATATTAAAGCCAGGAGAAGGAATTGAGATTTATGGTGAACACATGTTGGGAATTACTTCCTTGGTAGTATTTATCACCTGACAGCAGTTGTGTTATTTCCCCAATTCTTTGTCTTCGTGCACTTAGAAAATAGGATTACCTCCTATTTTCCTCCAGGGCCTTTCTTCTCTTTTCCTCTGGAGTTAGGACAAGAATGGGAACTACCCGAAGAACAAAAAAATGGGTAGAGGATCTAGCTTTTTTAGTCTTCCACAATTAGCTTTGTGATCCTGGGCAAATATTACCAGCTCTGCTGTTTTCAGTTTCTCATTTGTAAAGTGAACAACTTATAAAATGAAGTTTCTTTTCATCTCTGTGATTCTACTCTTTTTATTTTTTATTTTTCATTTTTTTGGGGAGATAGAGTCTCACTCTTTCACCGAGGATGGAGTGAAGTATCATAATCTTGGCTCACAGCAACCTCCACCTTTAGGGTTCAAGTGATTCTCATGTCTCAGCCTGCCAAGTAGCTGGAACTACAGGCACACACTACCACACCCGGCTAATTTCTTATATTTATGGTAGAGACGGAATCTCAAGGGCTGGTCTCGAACTCCTGAGCTCAGGCAGTCCACCTACTTTGGCCTCCCAAAGTGCTAGGATTACAGGCCTAAGCCACCACGCCTGGCTGATTCTACTCTTTTGTCATGGAGATTAGCAGCCATCTTTTCTCTCTCCTCCATCATGAGATTGAATCCAAGAGGGGCAACAATCTTCCAAAGTTAGTGCCAGAAGTAATACATTGAGTTTTAACTGCCTCAGTATTTCTTTCAATGTCAACTATTTCCTCATCCTTTTAATCTCTAAATCCTTAATGATGCAGAAGCCTCAAAAAGGTACAGATACACCTCATCACCAGGTTATCTTCAGATAACTGGAAAATGGCAACTCAAAGTATAGAAAGCAGAGTAACCTTGACCTAGATAGCTAATTCTCAGGTTTATAATGCCCGACTCATCATAGGCATTGAACTCTAACTGTATGAGGCCTATGTGTGACCATAAATGGCTTTATTTTTATCCCAGAGGTGGCATAAATGGTCCCTGAAGGTTTACTGTTGTGCTATTCCGAAGCACTTACTGCCATATTTTGGGAAGCAAGAGTACTCAGTGTGGCATCTGAATGAGAATATACACTCGGTCTTGCCATCACTCTTGGGCAGAAAATTCTTGATTTGTCTAATAGGAGGAAAAAAAGAATGTTAAGCCAGAGCACACCGTGTCTAAGCCTTGGAGTCAACCTGGGTTTAAATTCCAGCTCAACAAACTACTAGCTGTTTGGACAGGTTGCTTAATTGAAGATTCATTTTCTCTATCTTTGAGCTAGGGTTAATTATGTTGCAGAGTAGTCATAAGAATGAAATGTGCAAAGTCCATGGCATATGGCATTTAATAAATTGTGGCCATTCCTGTAATATCACCTCATAGATATTCCTGAGCACAAATTTACTCAATTCAATTTGAACCACTAACACTGAGTTTGTTTATTTCTAGGAATGTTTCTCCAGTGGGTTCTTTGTGCTGCCATATGGTTGGTTGCCTTGGTTGTCAATCTGATATTACATTGTCCAAAGTTTTGGCCTTTTGCAATGCTTGGGGGCTGCATTTGGGCAACAGGTAATGTCTGATATAACTTATACTTTTATTATGTAACATAATGATAAAAATAATTCTCGTTCACAATAGGAGGAAATAGCGCAAACAGTGATTCTGAATAACCCTTAGTCATAGATACTAGAAATTAACTAGTTTCTTGCCTTCACATGCTCAATGAATATTTTTGGTGCCTTACCTGATTTGTTCCACCTGATTTATTCCTCTTAATGATTTATTTTTAAGTTCCTGGTAGAAAATTATTATAGTAAAAACATTTTAATTATTCTCCATCTATTCAAGCATAGCTCATATATTATTTTAATGTGTTCTGGCCCTTTTTTCTAGCATGTTTATCAGAAAATATTTATTAAATAGTAATCTCTACTAATAAAATTTTTAGGACTTAACCTAATTAGGCCAATGTGAAGATACTATCATTTCAAAAGGGCTGGTTAACAGAAAAGCAAAGCAAACAAAAATCTTCCTGTTGCCTTATCAGTACCTGAAATTATATAATTAGAATTCATACCTTGGCTTGGCCAATCAAGAAATGTTTCCCTTCAATTAATATAAATACACCCCAGGAGGTCTTTTTTTCTTCAACAAAGAGAATTCCAAGTATCAGTGATCTTTAGAAATAATTTGCATTAAAAGCAAATAAATGTTAAAATGTTAAAACTTTATTAAAAAAATTAAAATGAAAATTTATTTATTACCCACTTAATTTGAGTCTCTGAGGAGTTAAATGATTTAGTGAAGTTCATAAGTTAGAAGATAAAAGAATTCGCTTTTAAATTCCCACCAGGATTTACATTATTATACCTCACTTATACCTCAGTATGATTGCTTGTCATATCTAACAGGGGGAGAGGAACAGACTAAGCATCCATCCATCCTGCAGCTCTTTATAGCCACCAGAGCATTTCTGTTCACCCAGCAGGTTCCACTGGGTGTCAGTGGGGAAAGAGTCCAATTTGAGATATGTTGCAGATGTGGATGCTATAGGTTGGAGCAACTGATAGCATATAGGACATAGCAGAATGGGAGGAGCCAATGATAATGTAGAGATTTGATTATAGGTGATTAGGAGGGTGGTGGTATTGACACATATGTGGAAATAGGAAAAAGAACATGTTTGAAAGAGAAAATGATGGGTTCAGCTTGGCACTTTCTGAGCATGAACATCCCGATGTTTCTACCATAGAGAACATCTGGTTGGAGATTTCTTCTTGATGGTTTGGAGAATAATATTAAAACCCTAAAGTAGGTCCAGGTTAGAACTGTAGCACTGGGAACACGCACCTTTAGCTGGTAGCTGAAATCATGAAATTAGGTCAAGTACCCAAAGGACAATAAAGCAAGGGGACAAATATGTTCAAGGGAAAATCTTTAGGGGGTACCTTATTCCAGAAGGAATGATGAAAAATAGTAGCCAGAGAAAGAGCTAAAGAGAAAAACAGGAGGAGACTCAAGAGATGAAGACATCATGGAATCCTAAAGAGGTAACCTTTTAAGAAGAGACTGTAGGACTTGAGACAAAAAAAAAAAAATTATGTATTTGGCCCTCAGTGACCCTCAAAACATAAGAGAATGAATGTAGAAATCCAGAAGACAAATCAGCAATCATGGAAGAGCAAATTCTGGGCCTGTTTTATGGCCAAGTACTTCTGCCAGTATTTGGCCCTAATTCAAGTCTAAGAGGATGGTCACTGATAATTTATCACTGACAGCTTCCATGAAGAATCACAGAATAGAGAGCTATGCTAAGGGAGAGAAACCTCTGTACAATTAGGAATTCAACACTTTTCTTTGTAGACTTTTTTCCTAAGCCTAGTTCTTTTAGCACACATACTCATAAATTTAATGCCAAAAATGTGGTTATTTTACTGAAAAAATAAGGAACTGTGCTTTACTAAATTTGTCCAAATCACATGCACTTCAGTTGAAGTTAGAATAAAAACTAATTCTATTTATAAATGTATTTTCTATATGGAAATAACATGTTTCTTCTGTATATTACATCTACAGGGAACATTGCTGTTGTCCCAATTATCAAAACCATTGGTTTAGGCCTTGGAATCTTAATCTGGGGATCATTTAATGCCTTAACTGGCTGGGCAAGCTCAAGGTAATTCAAGTCAAACTAGTTCAACTAAGATTTCCTGCATCCATATTCTATGTAAAGCAAGTGATTACCGAGAGGAATAACATATGATTCTTATTCTCACAGAGTTTATAGCTGGTAAAACATACACATCATATATGCCACCTTCTATTGCTATTTGCCCTAAATTCTTAATAAGTGATCTAGATATTTGATCAAGATATAGTGTAGCATTAAATCTGGGAAACAGAGGTAGAGAGAGAAAAAGGAAACTGATTTTTATTGTCCCTTTCTATTGTGTGACAATTTGCTGGACATGTTCTATGCATCATTCTCATCTCACTTTCACAAATACGTGAGGTAAGCACTATCTTATAAGAGAGTAGATAAAAAGAGATTAAGTAACTTACTGTAGGTCACAGAACTAAGAAGCTAGGATTCAAACCCAGGTCTTCTAGTTCCAGAGCACATATTCTTTCCTCTAGAGCAGGGTTGGCAAAGCACGGTCTGGTTTCCCAGCCATTTCTATAAATAACGTTTTATCAGAACACAGCCAAACCCATCCATTTAAGGATTGTCTATGGCTATTTTTATGTTACAGTGGCAGAGTTGAGCAGCAAGGGAATAACTGACCCACAAAGCCTAAATTATCTACAACCGCCTTCGAGAAAAAGTTTGCCAGTCCCAGCTCTAGCGTTGTGTTGTCCAATAGTGTAGCCAGAAGCCACAGGAGGCCATTTATATTTAAATTTAAATTAATTAAAAGTTGATAAAATTAAACCTCCAGTTTTTTGGTTGCACTAGCCACATTTGATGTGCTCAGTAGCTAATATGGGGAGAGGCTACTCTTTTGTGCAGTGAAGATAGAGAACAGTCCCATCATTACACAAAGTTCTATCAGACTGGTGCCCTTGGTCAGCATTAAGATTAACATTCAAATCAATTTTGGGAAAATGAGTGGAATGTGGGGTGTTATTCTCACTTTACCTTTTGGACTCCCTTTCCACTCAAAGCATTATAACCACCTCAAAACAACAAAACAAACCAACTTACTAACTTCCAATACATTCTCTCCCATCCTTCCCCCATTCCCCACCTCCTGCTATTTTCTTTTTCTTTTCCTTCTTTTCTCCTTTCCTCTTGCCCCTGGATGGTTCTCAGTGATTCTTGGTAATGATCACGGCAATGTCAGGCAGGAAAAAAAAATTGTGGTGATGACAGAGTAGGGATATTTAACCTAGAAATTTTTTAAAAGTCTACTCCAAATATTATACAATATTGTAACCAATTAATTAACCTTCCATGAGTCAGGTGAACTACTTTTTCCTACTTCTTTTTTAGTCTTAGGAAAGAGACACTCACAAGTACTTTTATGTATACTAACTCATTTAATCTTTGTAACAAACTTATAAGGTAGGTATAATTATTATCCCATTTTAAACATGGGAGGCTGGGCACGTTGGCTAACGCCTATAATCTCAGCACTTTGGGAGATCGAGGTGGGTGGATCGCTTGATTTCAGGAATTCAAGACCAGTGAAACCCTGTCTCTACTAAAAATACAAAAATTAGCCAGGCGTGGTAACAGGCACCTGTAGTCCCAGCTACTTGGGAGGCTGAGGCAGGAGAATAGGTTGAATTCAGGAGGCAGAGGTTGCAGTGAGCCAAGATCATACCACTGTACTCCAGCCTGGATGACAGAGCAAGCCTCCATCTCAAAAAAAAATTTTTTTTTAATTTAAAAAAATTGGAAATTGAGGCACAGTGAAGATAATTAACTTTCCCAAAGTCACAGCTAATAAGTGAGAGAGCTAGCATTTGAACCCAGGAATCTGGCCCCTAGTCCATGCCCTTAAACATTATGGTGAAACATCTTAACAATATTTAATTTGATGTGACTTTCTGGATTTTCAGGTTTGGCTGGTTTGGATTGGATGCAGAAGAAGTATCAAATCCGCTGCTAAATTACATTGGAGCTGGGCTATCAGTAGTAAGGTACACAGTCATTTCTAGTGATTTTGCTGTTCTTCAAAACATGGAGAGTGCTTTTTTAAGGATCCTGCTATGTTTACATTTTTTAAACCTACATTTCGTAAAATCCACATGCTTGTTCCTCAGATTCTTCATTTACAATGACTGGTTTTAGAGGACAAAAAGTGCCAGATTTGGGGGCAGGGGCAGCCCCAGCTTTAGCTCTCCAAAACTCTGAGAGCCTGGAAAATCATTTAACTGCTCTTAAGCTTAGTTTTATCATCTATAATATGTAGAAAATCATAACACATAGCTTATCAATGAGAATCATATATTTTGCAAACTAAAACATGCTATTCAGAAAAAGCATTCTGCTGGCTTCCTGATGCCCCTGGAGTAGTCACTGATTCTCTCTTCTATGTACTACTCACTTCCTATCTCACCTAGTTTCCACTTCCCCTGTCTCCTCACTCACTCTTCTCAACCTAGCTAGACAGCTCCTCTTTCACCTGTGAGAACACATACTCTTTTGAATGCCCATGTTTGGTTGCATCTGTGTCTAGCTGTATGCACTCTACGAATAAGGGTGAAAATGACTTTGAATCTCTGTATGGCAGTGTTCAGTCCATAAAACTTAACAGGAACTGGGTCACCTTAAATTCAGTCTTCTTTCCCCTCTGGATTCCATTTATATTCCCTGTCAGTTCTTCACATAATGGATAGTACTGCCTAGAAAGATTTTAGTACTTTTTTATTCTTAGGGAAAGAACAGTATATTTGCCTTCCTTCAGCAATGATGGCTTTTCCCCAGGCACATTCAGGAACAATCTCTTTGTCATTGAAATGTTGCCTTAGAGAGTAGTCCCAGGCCAATTGGAGAAAAAGATAACATAAATTATTCTAAAATAGCAGATTCCTGACTTTTTTTGGTTAGAGGCAATTTTATGTATTTTGTATAATTCACACAGAATTCTAGCTCTGAATAGCTCTCTCAAAAACAATTTCTTTACACACCAAAATTGTAACATAGGATGGCTTAGTTTTGACTTAATGACAATTGAAGGCCAGTTTACCCAGTCTATCAGGCATTGTTTTCCTCCATATTTCTTCTTTATTTAGAAAAAGTACATTCTCTAAAATTGCAAATCAATTATTCATGTTCTACCACTTCCACCTATGTGGCCATGGGCAAATAACTTCAGTTCTCCAAGCTTTGGTTTCTTCATTTGTAGAGGGATAATAATAGCACCAACCTCATAAAGTATTTTGAGGGTTAAATGAAATAAAATATGTTTAGTGCTTCATATAGTGCTAATTACATGGTTAATGCTCTACATATTAGTTGCCATTACAATTATTTTATTAATAACATTTATGTTCAATTACTGTTTCCCTGTTGGGTATTTGTTGCCCAACTTTATGTTACAGTAGGCAGTGCACCTGAGGAACCCTGTAGCTCAATTTGAACTTGGTCTGTAGCAGGGAAATTCAAGAACTCTTCCCGTAGTGCATCTAGGCTCCCTTCTATGTTTCTCTGCTAAGAGGAATTTCTGGAATATGTCATTTCATTATTTTAACTCAGTTAAATCAGTTTGTTCTGAAGGGTATTCACTGAATAAACTTGGAGCTTCATGGTCCATGTTTCATGCACTTGAAATAGGGTTGCATTCGTTTAGGATATTGCTTTTCTTTTTAAAATTAAAATTATTGCTTCTATCCTCTGTATAGTCTAATTTTTAAAGGTTGGTTAATTTCTAGTCTTACATTTTCTTTATATGATATACAAAGTGTCTATCAGTCTGTATACAAAACCTCTCCAGGTATTTTAAACAGGAGAGGATTTAACACAGGAAATTGTTTGCAAGACCCAGTTGAGCAAAAGAAGGAAGGTTGTGTCACCCATAACCCTGAAGCCCACACAATACTGCTGAATTGCCTCTGCCTGACCGACTGCTCCTGCTGAAACTACTGGAGGCACCACCAAAACATAATGTCTTCTCCCATCTTCTCAAATGATGCAAGTGCCTCCCCCTGGCAGAACCTAGCTGCCAATAAAGTTTGGGAAATGTAATTTTCAGTCTTCCATGCTCCATGGTTCAGGAGAGAGTATGTAAGGGTGAGAGCAGAGCTGACACCAAGAAACAATATTCAGAACACTCTGTTAAACATTTGCTTTCTTGAAGATCCAGAAGCCAGAGGTCTATAACAAGACAGATGTCCTTTTCAATTCAAATAATAATATGATTTGGATTATCTTTAAGGACATGCTCTCCCTTCTTTTGTCTTCTCATTTAACATGCCTTTCCTGGAGGGTTATGTTTACTCCACAGCTTCATCTATTATTTTACCTTGTGAGGAAACCCAAATCATGGTTTCTAGCTGTCACCTTTCCTCAAGCCACAGCCCTTATTTCTAACTATGGACCAAACTACACATCTCTACACATACTCCACAGGTACCTCCTTTCAGTCTTATCTGAGATAACACACAGAAGGGAATGATGCTGATCAGCACTTTGCCAACACTAAACCATTTGTTCCTTTCTCTTTGCCTTCAACATTTCCCAATCAGAATTACTTTTCTTACTGGACCCTTCCCTGCAAACTGGTTCCTCTTCCTGAGTTCTCTCTCTCCATAGAAGGCCACAGTCATTCAAATTCAAAACCTGTCATCTTTATTTTTTTCCCTTTATATGCTATGACTATTCCTGTAAAAAAAATTTTGAATGTTTCACAAGTTCTTCCTCTGCTTTCCCTCGTCCCATCCTACCTACCCACTTGTATACATGTGATTGTAAAAAATCTCACATCTAGTTTCCCTGGTTCCATTCTTCCCTTTTGCCAGTATGGATAGTTGATATCTGCCCTACATCAGGGCATGTCATTGTCCTGTTTAAAAACCTTTGAATGTTCCCCACTGAATTCAGAATAAACTTGTCTCCTTAATCTGGCTTGTCCCTTACAGTACATCTATTCAGCCAGTGTTTCTACACGTTTCACCTTTCTCCCTGTATTGTGCATTCATTGACCCAGGATTACACCACACTCCAGACATCTCCCTCAGCCTTGAAAGCCTTTTCCTCAGCCTCCTTGGCCATCATTTAATATCATTTGAGATTGTTCCATCCCATGTGATGTTTTCTTGATTTTCTTCTCTCTAGTTAGACTCTTCCCCTAAACTACCAAAACTTTTTGTGCTTCTTCCATTATTGAAACTATCAGAGTCTACTTTGTATTACTTATACAGTCCTCTTTATTCCTGAACTATGATTTCCTGAAGGACAAGGCCCATTATTTTCTATATACACCATTCCTCCCACCATCACCATCAAACTTTCATATATAGTGTTTTACACATAATTGATGCTTAGTAAATGTTTGTTGACTTCAGTTGTCGGCGTAACTGCACGTGCACACACACAATTTTTACTAAGTGTGTGATGTACGGGATTGCAAATCTAGGGAAGCTGGAAAGCTTGAAAATGTAAAGAAGAATCATTGGGTAAAACATCAAGTTTCCTTTTAAATTACCTATGCCTTTGACGGCATTCATAGACTTTATCATGGAACTTTGTATTTGATGTACTGCACCAAGTTATTTTAAGTCTGTAGCCCAAAACACCTTGTGATTTATTTGGTTTTATGTTCATATACATAAAATAAATTTGATCACCTTCTCCTTACTTA
Source organism: Homo sapiens (assembly GCF_000001405.40). NCBI lineage: Eukaryota > Metazoa > Chordata > Mammalia > Primates > Hominidae > Homo > Homo sapiens. The sequence goes on from NC_000004.12 coordinate 158,223,053, forward strand.
CTGCCACCCACTCCCTTGATCTAACTGACTGGGACTCTTCTTTCTGATTTACCTATTCTTATGACTAGCATTAGTTGCACAGGCTCAAAATCATTGTGTATTCCTAATTTCTTTTTCATGCTCAGCACCCCGTCACCTATCCATTTGGTAATTAAGGCTTTCTCTTTACTAACATGTTTTCAGATTTTATTTTGTGCCAGAAGTACACTGAGAATTGTGTATGCATTCTCATTTGATTTTCACCACAGCTCTGTGATGAGTGTATATCCCCATTTTTTAGTTGAAAACTGTCAAGTCTCAGGGAGTGATTTGTTGGAGGGTTGTACACCTGTTTGAAGTAAAACAATCAAGAGCCTTATCTATAGTGTCCTTTTATTTATTTATTCATTTATTTTTTTTACTTTAAGTTCCAGGATACATGTGCAGAACGTGCAGGATTGTTACATAGGTACATGTGTACCATGGTGGTTTGCTGCACCTATTGACCCATCCTTTAAGTTCCCTCCCCTTGCCCACCACCCTCCAACAGGCCGTGGTGTGTGTTGTTCCCCTCCCTGTGTCCACGTATTCTCACTGTTTAACTCCAACTTATGAGTGAGAACATGCAGTGTTTGGTTTTCTGTTCCTATGTTAGTTTGCTGAGGATGATGGCTTCCAGCCTCATCCATGTCTCTGCAAAGGACATGACCTCATTCCTCTTTATGGCTGCAAAGTATTCCATGGTGTATATGTACCACACTTTCTTTATCCAGTCTATCATTGATGGGCATTTGGGTTGGTTTCATGACTTTGCTATTGTAAATAGTGCTGCAATAAGCATACATGTGCATGTGTCTTTATAATAGAATGATTTATATTCCTTTGGGTATATACCCAGTAATGGGATTGCTGGGTCAAATGGTATTTCTGGTTCTAGATCCTTGAGGAATCACCATACTGTCTTCCACAATGGTTGAACTAATTTATATTCCACCAACAGTGTAAAAGCATTCCTATTTCTCCACAGCTTCGCCAGCATCTATTGTTTCTCTTTTTTTTAATAATCGCCATTCTGACTGGCCTGAGATGGTATCTCATTGTGGTTTTGATTTGCATTTCTCTAATGATCAGTGATGTTGAGCTTTTTTCATGTTTGTTGGTCATGCAAATGTCTTCTTTGGGGAAGTGTCTGTTCATATCCTTTGCCCACTTTTTGATGGAGTTGTTTGTTTTCCTCTTGTAAATTTGTTTAAGTTCCTTGTAAATTCTGGATATTAAACCTTTGTCAGACAGGCAGATTGCAAAAAATTTCTCCCATTCTGTAGGTTGCCTGTTCACTCTGATGATAGTTTCTTTTGCTGTGCAGAAGCTCTTTAGTTTAATTAGATCCCACTTATGAGATCTTTAATCTTATTTTAAAAACTGTGGTCATGGGAGGCTCAGATGAGTCATAAAACACATCAGGTTGGTCATTTCCTGGGCTACATACCTTGTATAGAATAACATTATACAAATAAGTTTTTTTAGAGTTCTCGTACACTTATAATAACCGTAAAATAATAGGACCGTAGCAACCTTTCATCCTACCTCAGTGACTTGATGTATACACTGGGAACAGCCTTCGGTCTGAGGAAGGTCAGTTGAAGTCCTTACTATACAAGTCCAAATTTTAAGGAAAATGAGTTCTGCGATGAGTTTCCTCATGCTTCGGCCATGCGTGGACCAGTCAGCTTCTGGGTGTGACTGGAGCAGGGCTTGTCGTCTTCTTCAGAGTCACTTTGCAGGGGTTGGCGAAGCTGCTCTCATCCACGTACAGCTCCCAGTCTACTGATGTTTAAGGGTGGTCTCAGAGGTTGGGCCTATTAGAATAAACTGAGTCTAATACCTCTACACAGTTATGTTCAACTGGGCTCTCTAATACCGAGAGCAAGGTGGCAGGGTCAGGGTGTTGTAAACTTCAATGGTTATGCAGGGATTTTCACAGAGCAAGCTTTGATATCTAGTTAGTCTAGCATTCATTGGCTAGTAATGTCCTTTGGTATTTATTAAAGTCACCACAGCATGGGGGGACTTTATGTTTAGGTTTTGCCTAAGAGTTAGCTTATCTGCTTCTTGTGCTAACAGGGCCATTGCTGCTAACGCCCTTAGACATGGGGGCCAGCCTTTGGAAACCCTGTCTAGTTGTTTTTTTTAGAGATAGGCCACTGGCCCTTGGCCAGGGCCCTATAGTCTGGGTTAAAACTCCAACTGCCATTTTTTTTCTGACACGTAGGGTGTAAAGGGTTTTGTCAGCTCAGTTAGCCCCAGGGCTGGGGCTGACATGAGTTTTTCTTTTAACTCATGAAAAGCTTGTTGCTGTTGGTTGTAATAGATGTAGTTTATCTAAACTACATTTTTATTAACTGTCACCCACTAAAATATTGACTTAAATCCTGTAGCTATTTGATTTTAAGCTTTAAATTGATCTGGTATTCCTTGTGGGGCCCCAATTGCATCTAAATAGATACGAGAGTTGAAAGACCTATAAGGGGCTTCTCTCACTTTACGATGTCTTATTTTTTTCTCCTTCTGGTTGATGAAATGCCAGGGTGAAAGGGATAGCCAAATGGACTAAAGCACAAGTGCCATGCTAGTTATTCGGCAGAGTGCCCAGTAAAGGTCCACGACAATACCACCACACATCCGTTCAGGGATGAACAAGGGCTGACTGATTGATAAGCTCTTGAAAATTCTTAAACTCATCACATCCTTTCAGGTCTCTAAGGAATGCTGTTTCCTCCCTGTCGTGAGAGACACGAAGTGAATTTAGTGTTGGGAGATGGAAGCTGGATGGCCCTCGGGGGCTGACCCGCAGGGTGCCGGACTTCGGGATATAGCAGAGAGAGCTTGGCATGACTTATTACTCCAGGCTATAGAATCCTGGAAAAGAGCTACCATGCAGCCTATGCCTGGTCGACTGGAGGACCACCTTAGTGGAGCGGGGGACAATCTGGGCCTCTGGCCTGCCATGTGCACAAGCATAACAATTGCTTTTGTTTAACGTGCAGATGGAATATTTGATCCATTTTAACCAGGCATTTGCATCTTGGTATCCTGTCTTAATTGCTAAAGTTTGTTTTAAGTCTTTAACTTCTATGATCCTCTAGTAAAATGAATGTATGATTTTTATACCAGATAAGCTAAATTTTACCTTTATATTAGTGTGTTATTAATGTTAAACTTAATTTTAATAAAATCTTGTAGACATATTTATCCAATTTTTAATGTTTGAGCATAAGGTAAGATTTTATAGACTCTTTTTAATCTTTTATAATTTTTGCTAAAGAGCAGGTTGGTGATTTAGGAAAAGCCTGCTATGCTTTTATTTTAATGGCCAGTTTACAGAAAAACTGCATGATACCTCTTTAACTTTAGCCAATGTTTACACATGGAATTTTCTTTCTAATTAACATTTTAAAACTTGATTAAACCTTTAAAACAAAATATACATATTTTTAACCTTTTAATGTAGGTAAAAATTTATATTTTTATGCCTTCTTATAATTCTTTTATCAAAAGTATATTTTATTTTCTTTATACACCTTGCACATAAACTGTTTTGTTTTGTTTTTGTTTTTGTTTTACATTCAGGAGGCCTAGCTACTTTTAAATTATACAACATTTCTTGCATAAATTCTTTTTTATAACATTTTTATAACATTTTTTCTCTTTCACAACTTTCGCCGACAATTCTTTGACATGCTTTAACTTTCTGACTTATTACAAATATTTTTTTCTTTAAACAACCAGTTAATTTATTTCAGGGCAAGAATTTACCATATAATACTCTTTTTACATAAATCCCGCCCCCCCTTTTTTTCTTTTCTTTTTCTTTTGAAGATGATAACTATTCTTTCTAAAGCGAACTTCTTTTATGTCTGTGGGCTAGGCTGTCTGAGGCCACAAGAATAGAAGTTAGTATAATACATGTTACACTGTTAACTTTTAGCAAACTTTACTTTTGTTGAAAACCTTGTAAGTTTGGGATTTTAATTATCCTTTGCTATTAATAAGACCTTGTTTTGTCCAAATTAATTTAGAATTGGTATAGATGGCTTTTTTTTTTTTTTCCTAACGGAATAGCCTCATACCTTAATATTTTTGAGTTAGTAAGCTGCTTTTTTGCTTTTTTGATTTAGGATACTTCTGAACTGAACTAGTGAGGTGTGCTCACGATGAGGTTTCCTCTAAAAGTTATTTTTGTTTTATTTTTTTTCTGTTAACAAAGCAGTTGCCGCTACAGACTGAATGCATTTGGGCCATCCACGGGTTACTGGGTTAAGGATTTTTGATAGGAAGGCCTCAGTGCTTTCAGGATACGCCATTGTTTACACTGACAATGAAGTGGTATTGGAGCATTATAGGGTTACAGAGAATACTTTCAATTATCAATTACAGGTTTTAAATTTACTTTGGCTTTTAAAGGAATAAGGTACACTGTTTTTTTTCTTAACTACTTATATATATATCTCTCTTTCTCTCTTTCTTTATCTCTTTGACTTTGTCTCTCTCTGACTTTCCTTTTGCCTCTGTCTCTTCCTCTCTCTCTTCTCGCTTATTCTGCAGTTCTCTCAACCACTGTGGAGAGCTCTAAAACCAGCTCTCCAAGCGTATATGTATAGAACCAGTAACCAAACGTCTATGTACAGAAACTGGTCTGGGTGCCCTGGCTTTACAGGTTACCTTGGGCCATACCTTTGAAACAAGAGACCTGTCCAGGCTTCTTTCTGATGGCCAACTTACCTTCAATGCTGGCCAGTCTACTTTACACAAAGTTTTAAGTTTTCCTGGTGTCATAGTACTCCATAGTCTCCTTTAAATCCTTTCTTGAAATTTTTCAATGTATTTCCTAGTAGGGTCAGCTTATCTGTGCCTGACCCATGCTTCTTCGAGGCAAAACACCATGCTCACACCACACACACACCACAAAGCAAAGAACGGGTAAAAAGGCACACACACACTTTTGCAGTTTACACCAAACCAAAATCAAAACCAAAATCAGAGTATCCAGAAATCCAAGCCAGGTCAAAACCAAAACCAAAGTATCAAGCAATCCAAGTCAAGTCAAAAAGAAAAACCAAAGTGCCAGTACAGGCACACCGTGGGTGATCAGGCCACGCTTCCACTCAAATGGAGTAGGCAAGTTCCCAAGACCAGTCCTGTCAAGTAATCAAACCAAGTCAAAACCAAAACCAAAATCAAAGTGCCGATAAAGGCATGCCATGGGTGATCAGGCCACGCTTCCACTCAAATGGAGTGGGCAAGTTCCCAAGACTGGTGCTGTCAAGCAATTCAAACCAAGTCAAAACCAAAACCAAAACTAAATCAAAGTGCCGATAAGGGCACGCCATGGGTGATCAGGCCACGCTTCCACTCAAATGGATGGAGTAGGCAAGTTACAAAGACTAGTCTTACCAAGTTTCAGATGTCTGGACTCCAAGTACCAGTTCCTTCCCAGTATTCAGCCACTGCGTCGATCCTCCACAGGGGCCTGCCACACACTGCTCTGGTGAGGCATCCCACCGGGGCAAATGCCTACCCGGGAGCGCTCTCAGGATCCATGTCGCTTGGGCTGGTCGGAGTCCCTCGCAGGGATGTTCCACAGGGCAGGCTTAAGCCGCCTAAGGAGCTGCATCGACCATCTGCCAATCACCTCGCTTCCCGGTCAGGGAACCAAGAAATGTAGCAGGAGGAGCCGCAGACAAAACTCCTCAGACACGGAGTTAAAGAAGGAAGTGGTTTATTCGGCCAGGAGCATCGGGCAAGACTCCTGTCTTAAGAGCCAAGCTCCCCAAGTGAGCAATTCCTGTCCCTTTTAAGGGCTCACAACTCTAAAGGGGTCCGCGTGAGAGGGTCGTGATGGATTGAGCAAGCAGGGGGTAGTTGACTGGGGGCTGCATGCACCGGTAATCAGAACGAAACAGAACAGGACAGGGATTTTTACAGAGCCTTTCCATACAATGTCTGGAATCTATAGGTAACATAACCGGTTAGGCCATTGGTCGATCTTTAACTACCAGGCTTAGGTCAGGCAAGCCCAGGCCTGGTTTCAGGTCTGGTTCCTTGGTTTTGGGTCTGGTTCCTAGGCGCCGGGCTACCTGCCTTTAGTTTCGCTTCTCTTCCCTTTTCTGAGTATAAAACAATATGAAAAGGTCTGTCTCTCTTCTCTCAAGGTCACTCTTCTGTAGGGCTGCTGTGGTTTGCTGGGGGTACACTTCAGGGCCTATTCATCTGGTTTGCTCCCGCGCTTAGAGATGTTACTCAAGGAGGCTGAAGAACAGCAAAGATGGATGCCTTCTTCTTCATCTGGGATCTCGGACCCCAAGAGGCACCAACCTGATGCCAGTAGGATCATTCCTGTACAGGGTGCCTGACAAACCCTGTTAGAGGATCTCACCCAGTTGGGTGGCATGGGGAACAGGACCCATTTAAGGCAGCACTTTGACTGTCCCTTTTGGAGGGGGTGAGCTTCGCTGGGGGGAAAACCATTTATCTGGTCTATCCAGATTCCTCAGAACTACTGGAGGAAAGGCTAACTCTGCTGGTCTGCAGAGACTATGGCCAACCCTCCCACTAAGGGAGGCCCAGGGAGGCTAGGGTTCTGTCCCTGAGACTCAGGCTAGAGTTGTTGGAGTTCCTGCAGGGAGGCCCCGCCCAGTGAGAAAGGATGGGTCAGGGTCAGGCCTGAAGAGGTGCTCTGGCCACATTCTGCCACAGACAGTGTGTTGGGCTTTAGGGAACACTTCTTGGGGATCAAGCTCTCCAGCCTCCCTGGCTCCGGCAGTGGAAAAGCATGGCCTGGAGCTATAGAGCTGGATGCTACCCTTCCCTCACCCAGGGAGCTTAGCGTGTTAGATGGTAATGAGTCCCAGTGCTGGCTGCTGCCCCTTCCCCAAGGAGCTCAGATGGCTTAGGCAGCAGGCAGCTGCAGCTGTGGTACTGGTCACCCCTCCCTTCGGGAGCTCAGCAGGCTGAGGCAGATTCCAGCGGAGAGGCTGTTGAGAATCTGCATGGCTCTAGTGTTGGGACCCTAGGCCCCAGTGGCGTAGGTTTGCAAGTGGGATCTTCCAATCTGTAGGTTGCAAGTTCTGTGGAAAAAGCATGGTTTCCCCAGCTGGGTAGCATGCTCACTCACCAATTCCCTTGGCTGGGGTGTGGGGGTCCTGCAGCCCTGTGTGGCTCTCAGGTGGGCCACTAGACCACACTGCTTTTCCTTCCTGACCGTTATTATGTCAGCCACCTAGTCAGTTCTGATGAGAGAATCTGGATACCTTGGTTGCCAGTGAAGGAGTCACACACTAATTATCATTCTTTTTGATGTGAGCCTCTGATTGCTGCTGTTACTAGTTGTCCATCTTGGTCCCACCCATCCTATCTGTAGCTTTCAAGTGTTTTCTAACATATCATTCTGTATTGTTTATTAGAAAAACACACAGGTCTATACAGAGTAGAGGATTTTCGTTGTATAATTTTGAGAACAAAATGCCAATTGATGTCTAATATTAACCTTACAAATATATATATATATATGCACACACAGAAATACATATTTACACAAATATGTGTGTGTAAATATATATATAATATATATAAAACACACATATATGTAACTCATATATATTAGGCTTTATGCATTCAATTTTACTACATGTTAAATATCTTGAGGACCCTGAAGGAGATATAAGATGTGGTTTCTACTGTAGGGGTGGAAAGGTGTGATAACTTTCTTCCCTATCATAAGGGTCATGGCTGACACTCCTATAATAAAAGACAGGTTGACAAGACAAAAACATAACAAATTTAATCAAAGTTCTGCATGACATGGGAACCTGAAGACCCAAAGACCCAGGGAAAAAACATCTGTTTTTCTGCTTAGATTTGAAGATTTGACAGCCATGTAGAAATGTAATTACACAAAGGGTATGATCTAATGGTAATAGACTGAGGGGAGAAACATAGCAAAACCCGCCTGTTCGGATTCTTCTTGGTCTCTTTGTATAGTATTTCTTCTTCTTTGATATACAGCAGGACCCCTCTGGAATGAGGGTCTTATGATCTAGACAAGGTAGGTCAGAGAATTTCTTTATAGCCAGCTCCTACACAGAACGTGGAGGGTTGGGGGTTGTTGGAGTAACTGATCTAGGTTTCATGGCTGGTTTTGAGGAAGAGGGATTCTAGTGTCCATAACTCATCTTTGAGAAGAGGAATTCTAATTTCTGTGGCCTGCTTTGTGGGAGAAAGGTGAGTGGAAGCCATCAAGGCATGAGGAAGTCAAAGAGAGACTTTCCTTCTGAGGCTGCTTCTGAGGCCTTCCAATCTCCTATAGTTCAAAGTACTCAGCACGCCGAAGTGCCGTAATTTGGGGTATCATTTTCTGACCCCAACATTGGCTTTTATTGAATTAGAAAATCTTTAGAGAAAAAAAGATTACATTGTGGCAAATGGTCTAGATTGTGTGGTAACTATTCTTAGTGTTGTGGGGATTCAAAGAGGAAGATTCAGTGAGGACTGGCCCAAGGGGAAGTTTTTTTTTAAACCACATTCAACACTTCAACTCTTCTTTAGTTTGGACAGGACAAAGAGTATCTAGGGTGTCCAGCTAGGGAAGAAAGAGAAGCAAGTGCAAGTCGTTGTGAAAAATTGGGGAGGGGGGTTGGTAGACAGCTTGGAGCAGGGAGTGGTCAGGCATAGAAGCCAATACGAGGATTTATGTTGAGATAGGTTGGATGGAACATAATGCAGAGAGCCATAAAAATCAAAAAGGAAAGTTAAATCTCATATGGAAAGGAATATGAAACTATTCATGTTTTAAAGCAAGTAAGAGATTGAACAAAGAAACCTAACTAGAGCATTTTAATTTTTACACAAAAGACAGCATATGATAGACACTCTTCTGTACCTAGCTACCTACCCTATTTCAGTGTCATATATGCTTTGAAAGCTTCTTATTTTGTTTGAAATGTTGAACCATGCAAATGTATTTTAAAAGTATTTCAAAAGAGATGTTAAAAGTATCCCAACGTTGTTCATTTTCTCAAGTTAATTTAATCTTTTGACACATTTTAACAAATTTGCATGGCTTAAAAGCCAAGAGTAAGTGAGGCATTTGTTGCAAAGATACAGGACATCAATAGTGTATTATGAGAGAGATGTTAAAGGGAAAAATGTCACTAGATTTAAATGTATGTTTTTATCTCTTAAACTATATCCTGGAGATCTTCCCATATCAGAGCATAGAGATCATCATTATTCCATTTTTACAGCTGCATAGTATTCCATTGCATGACCATGTAGGCCACCTCACCTGAGTTTGAGTGTACCTGTGTGAGTGGGCCTCCGGCAGGATTGGTAAGGTCAGAAGTGGACACACCGGTGGCCTCAGTAGATCACCCCAGATTCTCCTCTGTGTGAGTTATACAGTTCTGCACTTCTATCAGCAGTATCTGAGAGTATCTGTCCCCTAGCGTTTGTCCAACTGAGGATGTTCAACTTTTGAAGTTGGTCGATATAATAGCTAAGAAATATTATTTCAATGTAGTTTTCATTTGTGTTTCTTTTACAATGTGATTTCAAAGTTAAGGGAAATATCTGATGTAGAAGGAAAGCTTATGAGTTTAGCCTTTAGCCTGTTGTAATTAAGGAAAATGAGAAACATCTAAGAGAATAGGAGTTCTGGCAAAACGGCAGGACCACTGAAGGGGCAATTTGAAAGTAATCATTGTATCATTAGGATCCGATTATTTAAGGTGTGTGTTTTTTTCTTAAAAATCAAGCAGCTTGATATAAACCAGTATTATGATAAATATCACTAAAATTTATTTTCCTTACAGTGCTTTCATATTTTTGTTCATCAAAAGTGAAATACCAAATAACACGTGTTCCATGGATACCACTCCATTAATAACAGAGCATGTGAGTATAGTATGAGAGACAACTTGATTTGAAACATAAAATTAAGATAAATGGATAATACATAAATTTTAAACACAGATGAAAAAGTGGTGTTTGCTCATCACTCCTGGCTATGTAAAATATCTTAGCTTATTTATTATGGGTAGGTCTATGTAGCAATCAATCAATATTTCCGCAGTTGAGCTTCTCAGCAAGCACACGGGTTTATTTATTTTGATTAACAGATCTCTACTAGGTGATATATATATAACCCCATTTTTGTAATGATTTAAAGATTCCTACAATAGAGGAACCCTAAATACTGTAGAGGAATGTGAAAATAACTTTAGAAAGTCAGAGGAAGGAGGTTTTGAAGTTGGTCCAGGGGAGAATAGACCATAGGAGGCCAAGAAAGGTAAGTGAAGTCCTATGAGAATAGGAACTGGTATCCCATTCTACCCGAAGTGAAAAACAGAAAATATGATAGGAGTCACTGTTTTGATCTTGAAGAATCTAAATCAGTCTGGAATAGTAAATCTGAATGAAACAGGAGCAACTTTTAAAAGGGACCTGATAAAGCGCAAGTGTCAGTAGCTACATATACAAAAGTGACTTCAGGGCAAAGCCTCATTGTCATGAACCCAGGCTCTAATCCTTCTCATCTCAAGAAATCTCTCCTGTCTGCCCTGGGCCAGTGCTATCCAGCTGCCCTCTGAATCCAGCGCTCCTCACCCCCAGTGGGGTATTGCCCCTTGGCAGGGTGCTTATTTACCCCTTACTTCAAAATTAATCTTTTCTCCTTTCCTTCTTCCCCTATCCAAACTTTTATCAACTAAAACCTTAGTTAAATTGACACTAAAGTTGAATAGTAATTAGCTTAAGTGTAAAGAGAAGAGGTTTATTAATCCACAGGCATCTCTAATCAGGGAAATGTTTCAGGGAGAAGGGAGGAGTTGGCTTTGGGAAAGGGTTCCTTGCCTGCTTCAGGGATCCAGACACCTCCTGCCCAACCATCCTCCAAAACAATGGAACAAAATAATAAAATAAATGCAGCTTGGTAAAAGATACACAGTAGGCTAACTGCCTGAGATTTTTCTAGGCAATAAGTTTAAAGATCCATAAACAGCATGATTGATGGGTACAGAACCATGCATCATGAGCTCCTTATGATGAAAGAAACCGTTATTGCCAAAGGAAAACTTGACTTAGCACATGACAAAGAATTCAAATCTACTTTCTTGTCTCTTACAAAAATAATAGGATTATAACATCAAGAACACTTCAGTTGGCCAGGCGTGATGGCTCATGCCCGTAATCCCAGCACTGTGGGAGGTCAAGGTGGGCAGATCACCTGAGTTCAGGAGTTCAAGACCAGCCTGTCCAACATGGTGAAACTCTATCTCTACTAAGAATACAAAAAAAAAAAAAATGAGCTGGGTGTGGTGGCACACACCTGTAATCCCAGCTACTTGGGAGGCTGAGGCAGGAGAATCACTTGAACCTGGGAGGAGGAGGTTGCAGTGAATCAAGATCACACCACTGCACTCCAGCCTGGACAACAAGAATGAAACTCCATCTCAAAAAAAAAAAACCAAAAAAACACTTCGGCTATAGTATTATAATATACCCCCCTTATCCACAGGGAATATGTTCCAAGACACCCAAGGAATGCCTGAAACCACAGATAGTACCAAACCTATATATAGTATGTCTTTGTATCTGATCACTAAGACAGCTACTAAGTGACTCGGGGGCAGGCAGTGTATACGATATGAATAGGCTGGACATAGGGATCATTCACGTTCCAGGTGAGATGGAGAAGGACGATGCAGGGTTTCATCACACTATTCAGAACAGTGTGAAATTGAAAACTTATGAATTATTCATTTCCAGAATTTTTCATTTAATGTCTTTGGACTACTGTTGACAGTGAGTAACTGAAACCACAGAAAGTGAAAGTACAGATAAGGGAGGGGTACTGTAATTCCATAGTAGAAATATGAATTTGCTCATAATTTTTCCTGGCTTAGAATATCAGCCTAATATTGAAACATGGCTTGGAATGTTTTATTAACTAATTTAGTAAAAAAAACAAATCAGTATAAGAAATGCTCATTGATCTTAAGCATTCCATAGGAGGAGAGTCTAATTTCCTTACAGATTATGCAGACCATTAAAATATGCAAATGAAACATGAGATAATAAGTTTTATTAGTTTTTATAGGTGTATCACAATAGCCACATATTAAATGTGAGAATTTGAAATGGAAGACTTGCCAACTGCCAAGTCATCCTAAATGAAAGAGGAAACAATTAGAAACAGTTGAGTTTAGAGATATCAGAATGCATAGGTGACATGTTTATTATATTTTAAAGCATGTTTGAAAGAGAAGAGAAAAGCACTAGAAATATTGTCACCAGTGTGATTATCAATTGAATGTTCTTTTGTTTTAATTTGGGCCAATGTTTTCAATAGGTGATCAACACAACCCAAGACCCCTGTTCCTGGGTGGATAAACTTTCTACAGTACACCACCGCATAGTGTAAGGAGAGGTTACTTCTTTGCTCTATTACTCTGTTTCATATTTGGTTAAAGCAGGGATTACCAGCATGAAGTAATGTTCATCTGAGTTCAAGAAGAAAATTGTAATGCAAGCTTTGACTTCTATCTCCATGCGGCGAGGTTTTTTTGTCCCCAGCTGAATTTTAGGTACAGATGCCCTTGAGCTCAACTGCTTTGAGTAATTACTAAATCATTGCATTTATCTCCAAATGATAAGTAGATAATAAAAGCAACCTAATTTTGCATGACTTGTGTAGCTAAAGTAAAAGAGGTAGTAACGTGACCAACCTGCTCTCAGCAGTCATAGTCAGATTAGGCAATAAACTTGTCTAGCACTGCACCACCCAGGATGCCCACCCTGCTCTGGGAATCCCCACACTCCTGTGTTTAGACAGTTATATAATTCCAGACATTCATTGTCAAATATAGTGGAACATTCTGTGTCCGTGTGGGTCCTACTCCCTCTATCTCCATAAGAACTCAGGGAGTTGGGCTCAACATCAGCCCCTCTACTTTAGGGTGTTTTTTTTGTGGTTGTTCTGTTTTTTGGACTTCCAAATAAATATGAAAATACACACTAGTATATAGTTTGCATTTTACATTTGATGGCTGCTTTAAACTTCATGTGGTGACACCTTTTGACTCAAGAATATAAAGCCTTCTTTTTGATAGCGTGTATGCTATGTTTACAGGGGGAAAGAGCAGCACCTGACACATAGTAGATACTCAATAAATATTTGAATAATTTGAATGAATGAAAGAATAACAAACAACATTTGGAAGAAATAAATATGTTGCTGGTTTTGCGTCAGAATAAAACCAACCTTTCAAACAAAAAATTTTTTCAAATTTTTTTTTCACAAAGCCTCCCCTTCATTAAGATATTTTTAAAGAAAAATATGTTAGTTGTCTTGTAATTAGCTAGGCTTAGTCTATTAGTCTTGTCTGCGTTTGGGACGCTCCACGGCTATGAAGTCCAGACCTCACGTGACACAGGGATTTCCAGGATGAGTAGAACATGTTGCCAAGGTGGTCTTGTGAATTTCTACAGGCTCATGTTACTTTATAGTACTATTTAAATTGACTGATTTAATTTTTAAGCTTTGGAGGGAATTGTTTTTGCCTACAACTGTCTTCTGTTTGGAAGGGTTTTTTGTGTGATTTTTTTGTTTTTTTTAGAGACAAGGTCTCACTCTGTCGCCTGGGCTGGAGTGCAGTGGCAAAGTGCTGGGATTATAGGCGAAAGCCACCACGCCTGGCCTGTTTTCTGTTTTCTGTCATTGTCCTTTGTGTTAACTTCAAGGAACTGTTCCAAAATATGAATCACCTCCCCCTACAATCATTGGAAATGCTTGCTTCATGCAGATATGGCCCAAGTCTGGGGAGTCCGCCTGACTCCAGTGCTGAAAATGAAACATTTTCTTTTTTATAAAAAGAAATGTTTTGTCTGAAATACCCAGATTATTTAATTAAATCAGCACTTCTTCTTGACCATGGCATTGTCAACTAAGGCATAGGCAAGTTCGTGGATTTCAATAGTTGTTTTCAACAAAAATGCATTTAGTACTTAGTCTGTCCTAGTTCTGTGCTGGATAGCATGGCCTGTTAAAATTTTTAAAAAATCATAAAGCATGGTGTCAGTATATAGATATCTCAATTTAATTAGAGTGCCAAGTTTATTTATGTAGACTGTACAATATAACTGTAGCAATATTCTCATCTATGTAATGACAACATAATTATAATCCATTTTAATTTCTATAAATCATGTACTTCTAAAATTAGACACTGGTGGACTGAAGCTGTCCTCCTAGTCCTGATGCCACTTTAATACTGCAGGGTATTTCTGTGACTTCCGCCAGTCACAGAGCTTGAGATAAATGGATGGTTTTTGCTTGTTTGTGATTTGCCTTTTGAAGCATGTTTATGATTCCATTTGTGCGTTTGTCAGAAATACTGCTTTGAGCCAAGATTAATAGTGATTTATTTGTTTTGTAAGGGGCTGCAGTCTTGCAGTGATATCTGGAGTACTCTATGGATCTACATTTGTGCCAATCATCTACATCAAGGACCACAGCAAAAGAAATGATAGTATATATGCAGGGGCAAGCCAATATGGTGAGAATAAAAAGTTATCTTACTTTATTAATATCTACTTTTTATGAATATAAAAAGAATTGTGATAATAGTAAATATTGATGGGTCGATTCGATCTTTCTTTGTCCTTGTAAGTGGCGAATTAGAAAGGCATTGAACACCAAAAATAATAAAGGATTGAGCATTTTCATATGATCTTTAACATACAAATGCAACCAACTTTAGCCAGGACTCTTTTCAACTACTTGGATCTCAACACATGGTTTCTGACTTTCCAGTAAGATTTGGAAATTATTTTCCAGTTAGATGATCTCTGGGAAAATATATATACTTCTGTTCTTTTAAAAAGGCTAAAGTGTAGTACATAGTACTTTAAAATGAGGTAAAGGTTAATGTATAGCCTACTTGGTCAGAGGATATTATTTTTAAAGTACAGAGTCATGCACTGGAAGGCCCAATGTAATGCTTCCTGTTAATATCTCAGTTTCCATTGACAGAATTAATCTCCCAAGAGTAAACTCAATACTATATGCAATAGCCTTGTACAGGTTCAAAAGGAGATGAAAGTGTTTACTTTGGGGATCTACTAATTATGTTGAAGCATGGCTTACAACCATGAAATGATAAGAGAATAAGATCATTCATAAAATAAAGTTCTAAATCAGATGGCACAGAAAATTAATGTGACCTCTGTTCAGATAAAGGAGAATTTGGAGGGCAAAAGTCGTGAGGGAAAGATTGTTAAAGAAGTTGAGATTTGAACTCAACTTTAACAGAATGGATAGACTGAGTAGATGCCATAATTTCCATCTTCCTTTTTATAGTTAGCCCCATGTATATTACTCAAACCTTTTACTGACTTCTGTCTTTCTTTTGTTAAAATTTTATACAAATACTTTTTTGCATTTTTACAAAAAGATAGAAATTAATAAAAATAGAATAACATAGAATAAATTAAAACAAGGTCTCACTAAAGAAAGAAAAACAAGAGTGGGTATATAAAAGGAACCAGAAACGAATCTAAAAACTTTATACTACATTTGTATACTTGCTAGAAAGGAGGCATAAATTTGGCTCTTAGAGTCCTTGTAGGCACAAGGGAAATCAGATCAGTCTCATGATTCAATGAGCACAAGATAAAAACAACTAATTGTTCAGGAGCACAGATGTTCTTGGTACAGGGACATAATAAACAGTGTCCTCACCAATCTCCACACAAAGAGAACAATGGCTTCTTAGGGATCTTGCTTGTGACAACTCTGAATGTAATGTGATGGGAACACTTTATCCCAGTTTATTCAAAAATAATGAGGGGGGATTATTTTTATTTCATTTATTTAAAAACACATATGTAATATGTGCTCTGTCCTAAGTATTTTACAAATACTCAGTTAATTCTCATAGCAACTAATACCCTTTCTTTGTTTTACGATTGAGAAAATTAAGACAGAGACGTGAGATGATTTGTCCAAGTCCCAAAGTTAGTGAGTATTGAAATGAGGATTTGCACCCAGGTGGTCCATGCTTTTAATCACTGTATTTTGCTTTCTTTTGTGGTGGTCCATATATAGATGTATTGCCCTTACATGATCCAGAAATAGGATTTAAGACTTAGAGCAACAGACAAACTCTCTGTCAAACTTTTCTTCCTAAACATGGCCACTCATCTTTGTCAAAATTTTAGGGGACAGAAACATTAAATCCAACATGGCTTTCCCAGCCAAGAACCTGTAGTGCACCCATCTGTGTGGCCACAGTCCCATCTGCTTAAACAGTCAGTGGAGTTGGGATTTTTCCGAGATTGGGCCACCATGATGTGATATTAACTCCCCCATGTACTTCGTTTTATAATCAACAATTGAATAAAGCCCTCTCTGGATTAACTTCCTGAACAGCCTTCTGTACAGCTGTCATCTGCAACAGAGATGCTGGTCTCCAGATTGATCAATGGATCCTGTAAAGTTAGCACCCCCAATTTTTTTCATTCACATTCTCACTGTGGTCAACCTGAGGATTTGCTATAATTGCTATTGTCATTAGTAAAATTAGGCCTGAGTGCCTATTTTTAAAAGGGAGGTATTAACATCATAGTTACATAATTCATTGTTTCTTATTTAGCTTTACCAGATGATCATAAAAACTAGCCTTTAGTTTTGATTATAGTAACTAATTTACTACTTAATGTATCTAGATTTTAAATATATTAATTAAAATTCTATATGAACAGCATGTAGAAAACTAGGATGATTAAATATAATTAATGGGGTTTTTTTTTTTTTTTGAGACAGAGTCTCACTCTGTTGCCCAGGCTGGAGTGCAGTGGCATGATCTCTGCTCACTTCAAGCTCCGCCTCCCAGGTTCACACCATTCTCCTGCCTCAGCCTCCCAGGTAGCTGGGACTGCAGGCACCTGCCACCACACCTGGCTAATTTTTTGTATTTTTAGTAAAGGCAGGGTTTCACTGCATTAGCCAGGACAGTCTCGATCTCCTGACCTCGTGATCCACCCGGCTCGGCCTCCCAAAGTGCTAGGATTACAGGTGTGAGCCACTGCGCTCTGCCTAATTAATGGTTTATTTGCCTTTAAGGTTAATTCTGGTGAGTTTATTTTCAGAAATCTAAATATATCTGGAATGATTAAAATGGTGTTTGAGAGTTTTTAATGTCTATTTTCAGATTTAGACTATGTGTTTGCGCACTTCAGTGGCATCTTTCTTACAAGTACTGTCTACTTTCTGGCCTACTGCATAGCCATGAAAAATAGTCCTAAACTATATCCTGAAGCAGTCCTACCAGGTAAGAATATGTACTACAGATCTTCTTACTATATGAAAGTGTCATCTACAACTCATTTAACTTGAATAAGTTTCTTCTGGAAACAAAGCCATCCTCTGTGTGTATATGTGGTGTGTGTGTGTTGTGTGTGTGTGTGTGTGCATGTTCATTCCCCCTAATTACTTTTGCCCAGTTCACCACCAAATATGAAGTATTTTAAATCCTTGAAACTGAATATGCAATGTTGGCCATTATTACAGAACCTAAAACTTAAACAATAAATCTACTAATAAGATATTTTCCTGTGCCAAACATCTTCTGTATTGATCATCATTCTTTACTATTTCTTTTTCACTATCTAAAGGTTCATATATCAACAAATAGGAATATGCAGTAACTTGGGAAAACAGTTTCTACAAAATGTAAGAAGAGATCGTGATGACTTCAAAAAAGACATATGTTAAACATACATGCTTTTGGATTTAATTCATTAGGCATTGATCTTTTTTAAAAATCTCATTTAGGAGTTTATTATGATTCAATTTGGAATGTAGGTCCACAAGTAAAATTTTTTAAAGGCAAAAATAAAGCATAAGTCAGAGACTTGTTCTGAATGCCTAACAGATTTATGCTAAAGAATGCCACCGTGTAGAAAATGCTAGAATACTGAATGCCTAGCTAAAGTGCTGTGAAAGTTTTAGCTGGTAGTTTTACTTAAATACTACAGGTTTTTTTTTTTTCTTAGCCGTAGCATCACTCTGATCCACTTTATTAATATCTATGGTTTACGGTAAATGGTATTTGCAGATAATGTTCGGGTTCAGTATGTCCCCTAGTCCCCTTTTCATCACCCAGTCTCTACCTCTTTTACTACTATGGGTACTTTAATGCTGATAATGTGAAAGCATTGATCACTCTACCCATAGCAGGCAAGAGTAGAGAAATTACTTGCTCTAAAATAACAATAAAACACAGCTCAAAATTCCATGTTGGCCAACAACATTGATTAGAATGCATTTATATGTGCACTTTGATATTCCTGTTGTAGCTCAGTGTGAGTTCTTCAGGAGGGGAACATGGTCTGCAAATGTGTGTTGTCTTTGTATTTCAGGATTCCTGTCAGGAGTACTTTGGGCTATAGCTACCTGCTGTTGGTTCATAGCAAATCACTCTCTGAGTGCTGTGGTCAGTTTTCCAATAATCACTGCTGTAAGTAGCTGAACTGGTTTTCCTAATTTTCATTTTATAAATGTAAACCCAATTTTTCTGAAGCACTCTTAGGGCATCGCTAAAGACTGTCATGGAGTTTGATTTTTTAGGAATACAATTAATGGATTCAGATAGATAAACTGACCCTCTTGAATCTTCATGTGCTTGATTGCTAAGGAACATTTCTCACCTCATTTTAGCAGGGCTGTTACTCCTTAATCTTTAATATCCTTGCAGTTTTTGGTTTGATTGGTTTATCTAATGTAATTTTAGCGACATTGTAATTTGCTATTGATAACTATTATTCTCTCCTTATATAAAAGTTTATAAATATGGGACCTCTTAAAGGGAACATTGAAAAACAAACAAACAATATCCTTCACAAAACTTTTATAGTAGACAGAGAGTTGGTTTTTCTACCATTGTTTCTTGTTTTGAGTTAGAATAAAGACTGAGGACAAAATGAAAGCCTAATTCAAAGGAAATAAACCACTGAAGTAGGTGAGTGTGGGCAGAGGATCAGTGAAAGTGGTCACTGTGGCTTTTGGCAACCTGCCCATCACAGAGATTATTCTTGAAAAACTGTAATGGAAGCAAAGCCTTCTCACTCACCAGGCATAACTTTCTTACCTTGTGCGCTTGGTGCTTGTTATCTGGGAAGGACAGGTATTTGGAATTGGTGAGGGAGTAGGTCCCTATTGCTACCAGGCCCTTGCTTGGTTTTATTTTAGTCACTTTATCCAAGGACAACCTTATCTACACACAGAAGAGTTAGTCCCTACCCTCAACAATCTTACATTCTTCATTATTTTATTTTTTTGGTAGGGCTAGATTTTTAAAACTTTTTTAAACTTAAAATGTCAAACGAACCTATCACCTAGTTTCAACAATTATGAATATGGTCAATCAATTTTATCAGAATACATTTTAAATATCCCAGCAGTGCTGTTCTTCTCAGGTATACATATTCCCATAGTTATATATCCAGTGGTAACTAGACTGAGTTCCTTGAAAGTAGTATCCACTTTGTTTATTAGCAAATAACATTCCATTAAAAAGCTAAAAAAAAAGAAAGAAAGAAAGAAAAAAGTCACCTAGCAGGGGCTGTTACCTCTGCTCCATGTCTTCCTTGATAATTCTAAACTGAATCAGCTTAATCTTAAGATAGGAGCGAGTTCACTTTGTTTTCAAAGGCTGATTTACACCTAACTTACATTAGTTTACAAAAGGAAAATATACAATCCAAATTACCAAAACTGTTGTATCTCCTATGAAGATGTCCTTCCTATTTGGCTCTCCTTGGCCTGAATCAAAGAGTCAGTACATACTTTGACCTATGCTTGCATTACTTTTACCAAAGCACCCTTCCTGTAACCACACTACTCACGATAACTCTTAGGCCATGCTTAAACTCATATTTAGAAAACAATCAGACAAGAATCTTCAAAGGTCAATGATACCTTGTGGTATTGTCCTGTACCATGTTCTCTGAAGGGAAATGGATTTTCAGATTAAAAATTCTTGAGTGATTAGCATAACATTAATATGGTATCCTCTGTTCTATTGTTTCCTCTCATTCTGTTGAAAGTCAGTGTGGGTTGCCTAAAAGACCCATATGCTTCTTGTTTGATTTGGATTTTGAGGCTTAGGAACTTACATCATTGATAAAAGGCAGTTCCTTTGACCTATTTCTCTGGCTCTTTTGATGTTGACTTTCCAGATACTGATAAACAGAGAGGAGTGTATTTTTTTTGTTTCACTTACATACCAAGAGTGGAATCAAACTTCATTGACTCAGTCCTTTTGTCAGTTGGAGTAGTGGTAGGGGAAAAACATTTTGGAATCTATTTGAAACTCTTCCAGAGTTTCTCGGAGTTTGAAGAGCAATCATAAAAATGCTGATACAATACACCTTCTCCACAAAGACCACACCTAGCCCGCATTCCAATTTTCTTCCTTCTCAGCTAAGAAGAATTACCACCAAACTTGAATAGCTTAAAGTTTATAAATTGCAGAACCATTCCTTTTTTTCACCTGTTTCTTCTCATTTCCTCTGTCCTGTATTATTTCATTCTTTTCTTTGTCTCCTGCCCAGAAACCCCTATTGTTTTTCCTTACACGTTTATTTTAATCTTCCCATAAACCTTTTTTTAGCATTCATTGGTGTTTAATGTTAGCCAGACTTGATTGCTCTGTAGTAATATCAGTTAAAAAAATTTTTAAAGCACGAGCTACTTCCACAAGTACATTATTTGTTAGGCCAAAAAGAATATGCCAAAATTTCTTCAGTTACAAGATTATCTCATGCCAAAGAAAGTTAGAAGCTTGTGCACACTTTTTCTTATTAATCCCATTTCTAGTATCCTAAGGAACTAGGCCAATGGAAAAAATAAGCTATGTGCTTATAAAAATAATTTATGTCAGATATATTAAAGTATTATGTGGCACAAAATATTATAGCATCATCAAAATAATCAAAATGAAGACCATGAAGAAAAGAAAATGAAAAAAAGTCTTCATTTTTTTTACTTAATATCACCTAAAGTTTAGCTTAGTGTGGAGTTAGGGTTGATATTATGGGTAGTTTTCCCTGAAAATATGTTTATACTGTCTCTAACTTACTATATTTATATAGAATCTAGTCATAGGTAAATATCCAATTTAATTAAAATTTATATTTTTATTTAAGGGTCCAGGATTTATAGCTGCAATGTGGGGTATCTTCATGTTTAAGGAAATAAAGGTATGTACAAGAAAGGGCAGACTTAGAAAATGGGAATGGGGTAGGCCGGGCGTGGTGGCTCACGCTTGTCCTGGCACTTTGGGAGGCCGAGGCAGGTGGATCGTGAGGTTAGGAGTTCAAGACCAGCCTGGCCGAGATGGTGAAACCCCGTCTCTACTAAAAATACAAAAAATTAGCTGGGTGTGGTGGTGTGCACCTGTAATCCCAGCTACTTGGGAGGCTGAGGCAGAGAATTGCTTGAACCCGGGAGGCGGAGGTTGCAGTGAGTCAAGATCACGCCACTGCCCTCCAGTCTGGGCAAAAGAGCGAGACTCCATCTCAAAAAAGAAAAGAAAATGGGAATGCATTCAGGTGAGTAAAGTATTTAATATGTTTGTGTTATTATCTGAAAACTGCCTGTGGTGCCTAGGTCCAGGGCCAACAACTCATGAATGGATTTGACAGATAAAATGTTCAGAATGTGATAATACCTAATTAGGAAAGAAAATACTAGAGCTATGATAATTATAATGTAACATCATGTCTCTCTCCACCCCATCTCCAATGGAAAAATGCTGTCGTTGACTTAAATTTCCCTGAAGTGATTTTAAATAACCCAGTGAAATATGAGAGAGGGAAATTTGTTTAAAATATGATAAACAAGATGAAAGATTTTTTTTTTATCCTAAAGGTTAAAGTATCCCCTGAGGTAAATCATCTTTGGGAATAGATGTTTATATTGGTTCCTATGTCTCCCAAAGACCTCCATGTCAAACCAGCAATTTTGTAGGAAAACAGCATGGTAACAGGAGGCTATTGCCATTTCCTTTTCAAATGTAAATGATGGGAATTTAAAATTGCATTCATCAAATAGTTCTAGTAAGAGTGTGTGTGTGTGTGTGTGTGTGTGTGTGTGTGTGTGTGTGTGTGTGTGTATGTATGTTTTCTTTAAAAATCACTTTGCCGAGCATGGTGGCATGCATCTATATTCCCAGCTACTCAGGAGGCTGAGGCAGCAGCATCACTTGAGCCCAGGAGTTTGATGTCAGCCTGGGCAATCACAACGACAACAAAAGGTACAGTCTCAAGAGTCCAACTGGGTTCAAATCCTGGCTCTGTCACATACTAGCTGTGTGACCTTGGCCAAGTTTCTTAACCTCTCTGTGTGTATAGTCCTTATCTGAAAATGGGGATAACCAACCAAGAGAGCTGAGAGAATATGAGTAAAGTGCTAAAAACACTACCAAGAACACAATAAATGCTCAGTTAATTTTGGGGGTGAGGGTCATATAACCTAGCCCAAACTGTCGATAGCAAAATAAAACAAGTTAGGAGCAGTGGCTCACACCTGTAATCCCAGCACTTGCGGGAGGATTGCTTGAGCCCAGGAGTTTGAGACCAGCCTAGGCAACATAGCAAAACCGCTATCTCTACAAAAACAATTTAAAAATTAGCCAGGTGTGGTGAGGAACACTTGTAGTCACAGCCACTCAGAAGGCTAAGGAGGGAGGATTCCTTGGGTTCAGGAGGTCAAGGCTGCAGCAAGCCATGATCATACCACTACACTCCAATCTGGACAGCTGAGTGAAACCCTGTCTCCTCAAAAAAGAAAAAGAAAAAAAAAGAAAGAATAAGAAAACTCACAAAATCAGAGAACTTCTCCCCTTCTAGCCAGGCATGGTGGCATCTACCTGTAGTCCAACTATGCAGGAGGATCACTTGAGCCTAGGAGTTCAAGTCTAGCCTGGGCAACATAGTAAGACCCTGTCTCCCTAACAATTTAAAGATTTTAAAATGTTTAATCTTTTTTTAAAAAATTGCTTTGGAACTTTTCCCAGTTACCTTTACTTGTAGAAAAAGTCTTCAGTTGAGGAATATATGCAAATACTCTTTTATAAGAATTTTTATTAAAGACAATGTTGATCCAAAGACCCCTCCCCAATCAAGTCATCATAGACCTGTCTTAATATGCAGTTGTAGTAGCAAATAATTCCTGGTTCTAAGGAGATTGATGTTGCTAATCTCTAACAACCATAAAGTGAATGTACTTCTACCTGATCTTTAAAATGATTATTCAATTTTAGATTTAAAACATCATTTCAATCATTGTAAATGAAATATTTTGATTTAAAATCCATTATTTGATAATACAAGTAACATTCTCAGATTTAAAAAATAATAAACTTGTTTCAAAAATATGTGGACTATGATCAGAATTTTTATTTTTTTTAAATACACAAGAACAACTTGAAACATTTATAAACCTCTAAGTTACTTTCGTGAACATTTCTCATTTATTGTAGTCAGAGTTCCTTTCTACAAAAAGTAACTCTATGCCCAAAATATGTTGTAAATCTCTCTGCATATATTTCATCTACCTCACAAAAAAAGATTTATTTATATTAAAGAATTGGTTATTATCTCATGTAAGATGCTGAAGCCTTAGAAAATTACAAATTAGTCATCATAGTTTATTAGTAATTATAGGTATGAAGAAGTACAAACCAAGTATAGATTTATATTAAAGCATTTGAAAATTATTTTGGTCATGACTACAATAATAATACTGAATTGAAAATCCTCTTAACTACATATAAGAACCCTATTCAAAGAGAATCCCTAACCAAAAAGCCTAGTATTAATTGAAAAACAGTG
Organism: Homo sapiens; assembly: GCF_000001405.40. Taxonomy (NCBI): domain Eukaryota; kingdom Metazoa; phylum Chordata; class Mammalia; order Primates; family Hominidae; genus Homo; species Homo sapiens. The sequence goes on from NC_000004.12 coordinate 158,246,984, forward strand.
AGGAATGTTTTGTTTTGTTTTTGGTAAAGACATCTTTAAAAAGACACATCAGACTGAATAGAAAAGTAACTTTTAAGATTAATATACTATGACCCAATAGGGTTTAATTCAGGAATGCAAGGATCGTTCATAATACATAAATTAATTAATATCATTTACTCTACCATATCAAATATGAAAAGGACGTGATAATACTATACTAACCTCTTAATAAGCTAGAAATAAAAGGAAGCTTTAGTGGTACAGTATGTCTATCAAAACAAAATAGCAATTATATACCTGAGTTTCATGAAACATAAGAGTTCTCCATATATTGGAAGTCAAGGATTTCTCCATACTATTATACGATATTTCCTATAGATCTAGCTAGTTTGGAAACACCAGAATAAGAAATGAAATGAATAAATATAGGAAAAGAAATAAGAAAATTATAATTTGCAGATTACATTTTTAAAAAATGTACACATTGTGATTTCAATTTATTGGTGACAAAAATTAAAAATTAAAATAAAAATTTAAAAGAATCAGCTGAAAAATTTAACATCCAATAAGATCATTTAGTAAGGCTTGAGATATAAAATAAATATGAAATCAGTTGCCTTCCAATGTATCACCAACAACCAGTTAAAACGAGGAAAATAAATGCTATTAATAATAACCACAAAAATTACATAAAATCTAATTAAAGAATTAACAAGTAATGTGCCAGGTTTTTAAAATACTGTATTTTACTTTGCTACAAACATGTACTAGAGGACATAGAAGATCAGAACAAATATAGGAGACTTGTCACATTTCTGATGGAACATCTCGCTGTTATAATTAGGTAGTTCTCTCTAATTACGTTCAGTATAATTCCTGTAAAATCCCAGTGAAGCTCTTTCTAGAATTTTTAGAGTAGGTCCTAAAGTTTGGCTAATTATTTATGTAAAAATAGGCAAAAAAAAAAAAAAGCATGACAGCACATATACCATATTTCTGAAATGTGCAATTTAGATTAGCTAGGCCAGTTTTCTTATAAAATAAGGATTTCTAAACTTAAGAAAATGACTGTTTGCTCTTTTCTGTTTTAAAAAAATGACTAAGATAAGATTACAAGTATTAAAAGAAGAGAGAGGGCCAAGCTGAAAGCAAAGAATTAAAAAAAAAAAAAAAAAAAAAACCTGGGGCCAGGCATGGTGGCTTATGCCTGTAGTCCCAGCACTTTGGCAAGCCAAGGTGGCCAGATCACTTGAGCTCAGGAGTTCAAGACCAGCCAGGGTGACATGGCAAAACCCTGTCTCTACAAAAATACAAAAATTAACCTGCTGTGGTGGTGCATGCCTCTAGTCCCAGCTGTTTGGGAGGCTGAGATGGGAAGATGGCTTGAACCTGGAAAGTGGAGATTGCAGTGAGCCAAGATTGCACTCTGGCCTGGGTGACAGAGCTAGACTCTGTCTCAAAATAACTAACCACATAAATAAATAAACAAAAAATCTTATATGTCATCTACAAGCAAAATTTAACAGATGTCCAATGGTACTTATTCAATGCAGACACCTAATTGCCTCTTGACAGCTGATTTAAAGAAAAATTTTAAATACTTACATGCCAATCAGTTTAGAAAAGCATCATCAACTGAACACTAAAGCCTAAATATCATAAGAATAATTTTTAAAGTATTTTTGTAGAAACAGGACAAAAACCCCTAAACTCTAAAGAAGAAAACAAAAGCAAACCTGTTATCTGCAGGACTCATAGGTACTGTCAGTTATATATCTTAAAGCAGTCCTTGAAGACGCATATTTAAAAGTCTACAACCTACAGCTGCGAGGAATAAAGCTGAGAGCCAAGCACCTTTTGTGTGAAGGACTTTAATGATTCCATTTAGTTTTAATGCCATCAGTGCATCAGTTGGATGTTTTCATACTTCTGATACTCTTTTTTGTTTGTTTGTTTTTTGAGATGGAGTCTCGCTCTGTTGCCCACGGTGGAGTGGAGTGATGCGATCTCGGCTCACTGCAAACTCCACCTCCTGGGTTCAAGCGATTCTCCTGCCTCAGCCTCCCGAGTAGCTGGGATTACAGAAGCCCGCCACCACGCCCAGCTAATTTTTGTATTTTTAGTAGAGACGGGGTTTCACAGTGTTGGCCAGGCTTGTCTCGAACTCCTGATCTTGTGATCTGCCCGCCTCGGCCTCCCAAAGTGCTGGGATTACAGGCGTGAGCCACCGTGCCCGGCCCTGATATTCTTTTATATCTGATATCTGTTACTCATTGGGAAATTCATTTTAGATTATTAAATCTTTAAGCTAGATATAAATTATATTTTTACCAACACACTTTAGTCAGTATGTCTACAGTAATGCCAACACAGGCAGTTACTACCACAACAATGTATAGGTCAGTAAGCTACTCCCTGGTGAAGAATGAGATGATCTATTATCTTAGTAGAAATCCAAGTTAAAAAACTTTCTGCTTTGGGAAGAATGTTAGTGTGCTCTTTCCAAGAGTTAACATCCACCTTTGATGAAGGAAAACCATTGCTGTTGCCCAACTATAATTAGTCTTTTTCTCTAGGAGACTGGACAGTTTTAGCAAAATCTTAACATTGAAGGGGAAAAAAATTTTTCATTCCCTGAGAACATTATTCTTCTGTCTACATAGGTAATAAAATAGCGCTTAGCAATGTATTCACGTAATTAGATTGTAGAGTGCTTGTAACTGAAGACCCATTTTTTAATTTAAGTAATTGCATCAATTTCAAATTCACAAAATATACGTGGAAATCACCTTAGTGTATTTGTTGTTTGAACAAATGTTTATGGAATACCTATTCTGCATTAGTACCAGTATCTAGGTGAGAATTGCAGTCTTAAAAATTAAGAAAAAAAAAGGTGCTGGGAAATCCAAAGCCTACTGCCAGGTGTGTGTGTGTGTGTGTGTGTGTGTGTGTGTGTGTGTGTGTGTGTTTAAATAAGCTGTTCTGCACTTGGCAAGGTTTTCGGGTGCTTCTATTTGTAGAATTTGGGATTAAAGTGGCTTCTGTTAGTGCTAAGGATCACACTGAATCAGACAATTCAACTGGCCCCAACCTAACTTGCAAAGACCTATCTCTGGTCATCAAACAGAGGCAAATTTATCTACTCTGATTCTTTAAGTTGAAGAAAGGGAACATATATATATAATTTAGTTAGTAACATAATTATTTGATTTTGTTAATTAATACATAACATATATATATATATATATATATATATATATATATAGTTACATATTAGTTAGCATTAATCTTACGAACTAATAATACAAAAGACCTTTCCTTGGCAGTTTTCACATTCCCTCCATCCTGGACTTTGTTTCTGTTCTGTTCAGATTTATTACACAAATTTACCTCTGATCTCTGCATTCTTCCAGTAAACTAGAAACACAAGACCTTTAAGGAAGTGTGAGGGAAGTAGGCAAAATGAAACCAGACAAAAGTCCACTCTTTGAAGTGAGAATTTCACTGTGGAGCCAGGAGAGCCACGTGTTCCTACTGTCAACCCGTCTATCCTGCCCCAACCCTGTTTCCTGTGGGAGCCCAGTTAGAACTTCCCTTTCTGGGTTTCCCTCAAAGCTGACCTGGCTGCAAGGCAGCAAAGACAGAACCACCCTCTACCCTCTGACCCCTTGCATCTATGCTGGGGGAAATGAGTCTCCCTAAGCCTACACTTTGCATGGCCTGGCTGTAGGAACCCAAGTTTGGTGCATGTTCTTCACTGAGTCCTTGAGTGAGCATTAGGGGAGATACTCATGAATCAGATTAGCCCTGAGGATTAGCCTCTAACAGCCCAGGGTCCTGCTTTTATGAACCCACTCCCCCCAACAAGTCAGTCAACTCTTGCACCAAAAACACAGCATTCTATTCCCACTACCTTTCCTGAAGTTTTGCCCAAATTTGGGTAGTGTGAGGCTATTAACCTGTTGGACCTCAGTGGCCAGAATTTTCACCAGAGAGGGAGGACACCAGCCCTATTCCCTACAGATTTGAAGCTGGCAGGATACCAACTGCTGCCTAGAGTTGCTTCCTCTCCATTCCTTTTTTCTTTTTCCAGAACCCTTATGTGTCTTCTACAATGACTTACCCATGAACCATTGTTATTTTTCCTTTTAAGAAGGATCTAATAGTATTATTAAATAGTGTTATTATCTGATTGTAATCTTAGATGTATCTAAAATTAGAGAGGTGCTAGTCTTGTTTTACTTTGTAATGTTCAAACCTTCCCTTAGAATACTGGAGTCTTCCGCCTTGGATTCAGACTCTCCTGATGACCCACCCTTGGGACCCTTAGACCAGGCAGCCAGAGATTGCCATGCCCTCATTGGCAGAGCCAATGCCCTTAATCAGCAGGAAGTAGATACAGAAGACTGACTTCCTCCCACATCAAGCCTTAAGGATAAGGGATAGAAATCTTTAAGTGGGGGGGATGAGACAGGAATAATACAGGGTGGTCACAGATTAGGAAAATCCCAGGCAGCAGTTTCACATGACTAGCAAAAGGAAACTTGAAATAGCTGCAGAGGCCATGGGCTGATAAGACCCTGAAAAACAGCATGTGGATCAAGCTGGCTAAGACCAATTGAACCCAACATGGTGCTGGATTTGCCCTAGGTTTCACCTAGGACCTCATTATACACTCATTAACATACAAATCACACACCCACCAGCACCATGACAGTTCTGGGACCACCCATATTTGGTGTAAAAATGAGTGACACCACAGTTCTGAGAAATTGTTACCTTTTTCCAGGAATCTTCATGAATATTCCACCCCTCGGCTAAAGAAATGATGAAAATAGGAACCCCAACCCCCTTGTATGATTCTCTCTTGAGTATGTCCGCACTCCACTTTCTTGAGTGTGTACTTTTCACTTTGCAACAAGTCTCTGTACTTTCACTAAAAAAATAAATAAATTAGACTCTTTAAACATAAAGAAGGATATAGACAAAATGGCAGTCATTCAGGGGGAGCAGCCAGGACAATAAGGAAGCTTGAAACCATTCCATATGAAAAATGGTCAAAGAGCTAAAATACTGACCAGGAAAAGAGATGCCTCCAGGGATATATGAGAGTTATTTTTCAATGATTGAGGATTTATCTTGTGGGAGAGATATTAAAATCGATCTATCTGTACTCCTAGTGATGGAACTTATAGGAAATGAAATATTTCTACTTAACACAGGAAGATATTTCGTTGTTAATTCAAAGATGGGCTGGGCAACACAGAGAAGTGGTTCTCAGTAGTTCCCATCTTTAAGACCAGGCACCCCATACATAACTGAGCAAGTCCAACGAAGTCATTCTTCACACCCTCTCTGCATTTCTTCCTCACCCTTCAGATCCATCTCCATCTCTCCATCTACCCATCATCATCTTTTCCCTGGGAGACTACAGTCACCTCCTAATTGGTCTCCTTGCATCCATTCTGGCCCCTCCAATCTGTCTGCCATCCTGCAGAAAAGTGTGAGCTTTACACAATGCAAGTCTGAAATTTTAACACAGCCAGCTGCCTGTCTTTTTAATGTCTTCCTCTTTGCTTGGAAAAACAGGACCCAAATTTGAGAGGCAGAGGTGGGCAGATCACTTGAGGTCAGGAGTTCAAGACCAGCCTGGCCAACATGGTAAAACTCTGCCTCTACTAAAAATACAAAAATTCACTGGGCTTGGTGATGCATGCCTGTAATCCCAGCTACTTGGGAGGCTGAGACAGGAGAATCACCTGAACCCAGGAGGCGGAGGTTGCAGTGAGCCAAGATCACGCCACTGAACTCCAGCCTAGGTGACGGAGGGAGACTCCGTCTCAAAAAAAAAAAAAAAGAAAAAAAGAAAAAAAAATAGAACCCAAAGCATAACAAGTGCTCAGGTCCATGGTCTTCCAACCTCATCTTGCTCCACTTAACTTTGATTGCTTCAGTCACACTAACCTCCTTTCAGTCCCTGGGAAATATTTTGCTTTTTCTTACAACAGGACTGTGCACATAAAATTCCTTCTACCTGGAATCTCTACTTGCTGCCCTAGTCCCCTGGCCAATTCACTGATACTTGTAGTTAGAAGCTCCACTTCCCACCCTCCAAACCAGCATCATTAAGATTCCTGTAACACACTCTCAAACAACCATGGTGGTTTGCTTTATTATTAACACCCCTCTCACATAATAACATTCTTTTCTGTGATTACTTCCTGTCTCCCATATTATATGATTGTTTGCATAAAGGTACATGTTGAAGCTTAGTGGGTGCCCACATTTATTTACGGAATGGGTGAATTCATAAGGCTCTGCAGGGGTTTGTGAGAACCTGATTACTTGGAAGGGGTAGCAAAAAAGGGTACAGGCGGCTAGAGCAGATGGTTAGGTCCCTAGCAATCTTGAGAGTCTGTCCATTTTGTGTAATTGATTCAGGCCTTATTCATCACTGTTATTCTTTTTTCTTATTCAGGGTCTACAAAACTACCTATTAATGATACTTGCATTTTGCATCATCTTGACTGGAGCCTTATGCACTGCTTTTTCTAAAATCTAACAATGACAAAACCAGCAGGTGGCAGCAGTAGTTAAGAGAACGCGTCTATCGGACAGCGGAGAGATCATGCTGAGAAAAGAGTGCATTTTCATATAGCAAATGGATCTCAGCCACTGTTGGAGTGGGTAAATGATTTTTTTCCCCAAAAATGTGAGAATGAAGGAAGATTGAGTTTCATTCAAGTATAAAAATGAAAATTTCTTCTGATGAACTGTTTATGAAGGTAGTACTTTACTGGGTGACTAAAATGTCTACATTATTATAGCATTACATACGAGGATGCTCTTTTTACCACAGTATGTACCTAGTGTTGCATAATCTAGAACACAGTATAGAGTCCATATACAAAGAAGTTACAGTCCATATTTCTCACCTATTACCCCAGTGAAGTGAGGCAGAAATACCTTGGGCGAGGAGGGAGAGCCTTACCTTCTAATGGAATTAGATTCCAAAGATATTTGGATCCTTTGTTTCATAAAGTAAATGCATAGTTGGTAACTAAATGTTAAAAAGGCCATTTTATTATTGTTAGCCAAAACTTCTGTTTATTTCAAGTTAATATCGCCCAACTCTACATCATCTACCCATTTTAGCTCATAATGCTTTTGATTATCGCCAGATAAAGTCCATTCTCAGAGAACAAAAATTTTTCATCATTGAGAAAATGTGCATAACATAATACATACATACACAAGTATATTCACGTACATAAATACACACAGATATGTTGCTAAAGTGAGATTGTAGGTTATCAGTAACAATTTAAAGGAAACAACCACTCTTTTGAATGTACAACTTTTTTTTCTGAAATACACTTTTCTAAAACCCTCTTAACTGGAGGTTTCCTGTTTTCTTCTTGTTTTAACTGGTGGTTTCCAGTAGGCAAAATAAAATGACAGGCATGCTAGTTTTTTTTTTTTTTTTTTTTTTTTAAGAAAACTGAAATTAAGCCAGGCAGGGTGGCGCACTACTATAATCCCAGCTGCTGGGGCGGCTGAAGTAGGAGGGTCACTTAGCCCAAGAGTGCAAATCTGCCAGCCTAGGCAACATAGCAAGGTCCCATCTCTAAAAAAGAAATTTAATTTAAATTTGTAAGAAAAAAGAAAACTGAAACAGAACTGCCAGTACAATGTTTGTTGCAATTGTTTCCAAAACTTTGAGATAACGAAACCCCTATTCAAATGTAAATTTTACCCATTCCCACCTGATAGTACTGTTTATTACTTTGCTATGCAGGAGAAACAAAACAGCTTTTTATTTGTGTGTATACTCTGAAGTCAATGTGCATGGGTTAAATCCCACCTCTGCTTCATTTTATTTGTGTGGCTTTGGACAAGTTCCTAAGCCCTCTGTGTCAGGCCCCTCATTAACAAAATGGAGTTTATGATGGCATCTACCTCACATGGTTATTGTGTGGTTGAAATTAGTTCAAATCTGTAAAGTATGTTGATGAGTATCTGGTACTTGGCAAACACTATATAATTGTTAGCTTTATTATTATGTGTTGTTTGAAGGGGAAAAAAGTTTTTGTAGATTGGAGAACACCATGTAAGAGCTACTAAGCTCACCACCTTCCCATCCAAACAATTATTACTCCTCTAAATGAATACTACTTAAAAGTGATGGAGCTTCTGTTTGTTTATTGAATTGCTAATACAAATAAATATTTGACTATAACTTCTTATACTCATTTTAATTTTAACCTGAAATGTCATTAAATTATGCTGATAAACTTTGAATAAATTGTGATACAAAAGCTATTTTTCTCATTTAAATATATTTTAGAATTTTATATTGGATAACTTTTAATTATTCTTTAGTTGGGATTTCCAATTTATATGCAAAATTTTAAATGTGAAGTAAAGCAGTTTCAGAAGAAAAATGAAAAATCAGTCTTATTACCTCTATATAATTTATATATATCCCTATATATACTTTGTATATATATATACACACATTTATATATGTATATATATACACATTTATATATGTGTGTATATATATACACATTTATATATATGTGTGTGTATATATATATACACATTTATATATATGTGTGTGTGTGTGTGTGTGTGTGTGTGTGTGTGTGTGTGTGTATATATACACACACACACAGACCTCTATATAGTATATAGTTTCTGGTACCAAACAAGCTTTTTCAAAATGGTTACCAAAAAGCAACTTATTATTTAGAGGCTAGTCTAAATGGGCAGTTGCCAAATCTGCATTTTGTTTGCTCACCTTAGGAAGTGAATGCCTAACTCTCTTGAGACTTTTAGGTTTTATTTCTCCTAATCTAGTATGGCTAAATTCTAGTGTTTATTTTACATTTTTCTGGCCTGGCTTTCTGTCAAATGGCAACCCCATCTGTACTAAAGAGATCCTGCCATCTTGTGTACAGAGACAGAACTACATTCAGTAGAAGTAGCAGCCAATAAGGCTTGTATCAGATTATGGAAATTTTCTACCATAGGAACAGAAAATCCTAATAAATTTTAAAGGATTAATAGCACAGCATCTCCCCGAACTACAAAATCTTCTTTTATTCCTGACATACTGATTTATTTATATTCAGAGTTACTAACTACTAGACTTATAAGTCTCAATATTGATAGAGCTAAAAAACACATTGCGTAAAGGCAAGTTGTGGAACCATGTGCATAGCATAACATTTAGGTAAATTTTTAGTAACCAAAGTAATAAATACTTTCTATAAATACGTATTTATGTAAAAAAAAAAGGAATTTAGCTACTAATAGTCTACTGTTGACCAGAAACCTTACCTGTAACATAAACAGTTAACACATATTTTGTATGTTATATATATTATATACTATATTTTTACAGTAATCTAGAGAAAAGAAAATATTGTTAAGAAAATTATAGGGAAGAGAAAATACATTTACAGTATTATACTATATTTACCGATACCATAAGTTTGCATCATCTGATTGCAAGAAGAATCTTCTGAAATGTTGGGCAACTGCATCTGCAGACCTCAATCTGTGGTACATATCAAGCAATTCAGCTTTTTCTAATAATGTCATGACTTTTCTCTGCTTCTTGGGAGCACTTCCAGCATCACTAGTCGAGGTCCATATGGGTCCCATGGTGTTATCCAAGGTTTACAAGGTTTAATTTTATTGCAATAAAAAATGATGAAAAATATACAGGAACTGCAAGAGATCATAACCACCAGAGGCAATTGACTGGAGAGACAGTTGACTCACCTGGAGATGATTAGCACCACATGGTGCTTTAAGTGGATAGTCGCAACGCTAGAGCTCACCACAATAGCAACGGAGATTTTATAATAGATTTATGTATATTTTACGGTAGTAAATGATAAAATAGACTAGTGTATATATCTATAGTATTATATATATTATATATAGTATTATATATTATATATAGTATTATATATATTATATATAGTATTATATATTATATATAGTATTATATATATTATATATAGTATTATATATTATATATAGTATTATATATATTATATATAGTATTATATATTATATATAGTATTATATATATTATATATAGTATTATATATTATATATAGTATTATATATATTATATATAGTATTATATATTATATATAGTATTATATATAATATATAGTATTATATATAGTATTATATATAGTATTATATATATTATATATAGTATTATGTATATATTATGTAGTATTATATATATTATATATATATATTATTCATCACATACACAAAAAGAAGTGTTCACCTCACTTGGCAAGAGGGACTTGCATGTGTCAATAAGGACCTTAAGACTGGAAGACCCTGGATTATCCAGGTGGTCACAGTGTAATCTCAAGGGTCCTTGAAAGTGGAAGAGAAGAATCAGAGTTGAGAAGGAGATAAGGTGATGGAAATGGAGGTCAGAGTGATGTCCTATGAGAAGGACTAAACCCATGCATTGTTGACTTTCAAGATGAGGGAAGGGAACACAGGCCAAGAAATGTGGGCAGCTTCTAGAAGCTGGAAAAGAGAAGGAAACAGATTCACCCCTACAGCCTCCAGAAAGGCACAGCCTTGCCAGTCCCTTGGTGTTAGCCCATGTCAGGCTCCTAACCTACAGAACTATAAGAAACAACATTTGTATTGTTTTAAGCCACTAAATTTGTGATAATTTGTTACATTAGCAATGGAAATACAGAGTTACATGACTTTTTTAATAATAATTTTCAATGTAAATGTAATATTTTTACATCTTATAGAAACTTAGAAAGTTTCAAACTCCACATATCACTTATTTATCTCATTGCTACCCCTCTTTTTCCTCTTCTTTGGGTACATTAGAAGGAATACAACTTTTGTTCTGGATTTATACAAAGAAACAAACTGGTGTTTTCTCATATCATTCCCACTCTTAGAGTCTTAGAAGGTTTCAAATTTGCAAACAGAGATGCATTGGATATGGTAATGAGATTACTGATCTGAGAGCCAAAAAACTTCGATGATCCTCCTGGCCTTGCCTCTGGTAGGTAACATTACTTTGTGAGGTATTTTAACTTCCTCATATTTGTAAAATGGTTGTTTTCAACTAAAGGAATTCTAAATTTATGCAAACATAAAACTTTGTCACTATGGAGACATTCTAGTGGTATAATTTAATAGTATCCCAAGTTGCTTCAAGGTTCACCTTACATATTTGTATCCCACTCCTGAAGTACATAATGGGACGGGACCCACCAAACATTGAATAGAGTCACCCCTTTGCAAACTGATAAGGTGGCCTGGCACTCTCTTTTTTGAAATCCTAAGTGTGGGCACTTACAACGCTTTAAATTGAGGCCCCCAATACTGATAAAATAGGAAAAGTCTCATTTTAACATGTGACTCTCAAAATAGGTCCACATTTTTTGTGCGGGTTCCCTACTCACATATGGACTAGTAAAATCCACATCCATTTACCTTAATTCAACAGTATCATCTGTGTTATAAAGATGTTCAAGTTAAGCATTTCACATGTGTAAATGCATTTGATATTCATTTTAAAATCCATATTATTTTGTAGGTAAGGGAACTGAGCCTCAGTAAATTGTAGTGCCTTATTTTTAGCCATGCTGCAAGTATGTGACAAAATCAGAACTTTGAGTCAGGATTTTCTACTCTAATCATTTAATATTCATGAAATGTCAACCATGTGTGAGGCATGGAGGATAGAGAAAGAACTACAGAGACAGGGCTCTACGCTACCCCTCAAAAGGAGCCTACATTCAGCTTATGGTGTCATTTCCTTGATTAAGCTTCTCCTCCTCTTGTCTGTCTCCTACAATACTAGCCCATTTCTCCACTTCACACTCTCATTATTTTAGACACTTTTGTCTCTCCTCAGAGCTACGGGCTTCTTGATCTCACAGTACATTTCTGATTTACCTTTGTAGTTTCCCTTCACTGATTTAGGTAGCCAATACAACATTTTTGCAAAATAAGTACAATGAATATTTACTGAATGAATGCAAGTAAGCTAAATCCTAAAGGCCTCATTTGGTGCTAAAATTATCTTGTGTCTCCTATTTAGGTTTCACACTGAAAGAAGCAGTTTGAGAAACTGCTTAATTAAAAGACATTCAAATTCAAGACAATTTACACTTTCACTCTGTAATCATTTTCATAATAGCTCACATCCAATTAATACAGTGGATAAAACTTAAAAAGTTTAATGGGAAACCCTTTTAAATACTCTTTAGTTGTCAGAAAGAACAAAGGTAAAACTTGTAATTCCTGTCACATCTTCCTCGGTTCAAAGAGTATTTTACAGTTAGAATAAAAAAAGGAGCCAAATAAAATTACTTAGGTTTTTCTTTTTTTCTTGTTTTTTTTCTTTGAGGCTCAAGGAGTACATTCACAAAAATAAATTATATTGGCTCCCATATGAAATTATCAGGGATGACATTAAAACTAAGCAGCCAAGGAAAACATGTTGGTGCAGGCTTTAGTTTTTCTCTAAATAGAAAAATTAATATTCTAAGTAATTTTGAAATTTAAAATATTAAATTTATTAAAGCTGTAATGAATTATACATTGCTCCCTTAAGGAAAAAAAAAAATATCAGTACCTGTAAGATGTATCTGACATTCACAAACAGTAACCACCCAAAAACACCAGGTTTGGTTGCTGGATTAAGATTCTAAAATCTGATATTCTGATTTTAGAATCTTAATCTTAATAATGTATGTCTCTGTGTTCCTAAAATTTTTATTTTAAAGTGCATGACACAATACATCATGAAATAATTCATAGACTACTTTCTTAAAATTTAAGTAGTTTAAGAAATCCAGGAAAATATTCTTTCCTATTATTTTTGCATAAATTATAGCATAAATGAATATCCACATCCTACGTATATAATTAGTACCATGAAATACAACTTGCTATGTATAGTCCCTGCCACATGTTAGGAAAGTTTATGCGAATTGGGACCTCTCCACAGAAGAGTCATTCAACTTTAATAACTAGGGGAAATGTTGGAGTTAGGTAGTTGGTTAAAATGGAATCTTCACACAAAATGAGGTATCTGGTTGTCTTACCTTTAGTTATTACTGTATATTAATCTTCATTTAATTCATCTGTAAATACATTTTCAAATTTGACCACCAGAGGGAAGTATAGGGTTAATTATGATAGTCTGTGGTGGTCTATGTTATAAAATGTAAACTTTTTTTAAGTTTGGGCTCTGTCTCTCCCTCTCCTTCCCTCCTTCCCTTCTTCTCTCTCTCCTGTATCTCTGCTCTCAAATGACCATATTTTGCCATTTATAGATTCTTAAAAGCTGAACTATAAAAAAAGAAACCTATCTTCTATTTCCCATGCTATCAGTCTAATTGTCAATGTGATGTCTGCTTTTCAGTCATCGAGTTTTCATCACTCTTTTGCTTTATTATTATATTTGGCTTTTATAATTTCCTAGAAGTTGAAGACATCACAAAACAATTCAATTTTTAGACTTATTTAAACAGAAGAGTCTGTTCTTGCCCTAGAATATTCAGGACGTAGAAGAAGGCTCACAGCCAGTGCTACCAACATTAATGAGTGCTGCTGAATAAATATTAAGCTAGAAGGCACATTTTTCTCTGACCTAAAAACAAAGACATCATCACTAAATGATTAGGCTGAATGGCCTCAGGTTTCTCTAAGATGCTCTAGTAATTCTTTGGCTTCGTTAGACTTTTTAGGTCACAGAGACCTGGAACTATTTGCCCTGTTATTTTTGAAGACTTTTTGCAAGCACGAGGCAGAAATGTTTTCTCAATAGCCTACTATGTCAATCATTTGTTGTAATTGGATGTTCACTGAATATGGATTCTTACAGCATTTGCCATCACTTGTAGACTGAATTGAGGAAGATGCGTTCCTATTTCCTGAGCACAGAATGATGTTTCACTACGGTAAAAGTTTGACATAAAGTGGGATAGCACATGAGCCTGTTGTTTATTTCAGCTCTGAAATGCCTAATGGAAAATCACTATGAGACAAATTCCACAAAAATAGGAAAATTGGACATGTCTAACATGCTCAAATCATAAGCTGAGATATTTTGCAGAATTTTTATTTCTCTCTATTTACACACTAAAGGTCATTTAGAATCCTGTCACCTCACTTACATCATCTTACTCATGATGCTTCTTATTGAGGATCTCAAGTCTGAAATTCAAATATTATGTATGTGCTGTATTGGTAATAAAATCATCAACTTTAATATGGGAATGTGACATACTAAATATGAGGTCAGGAAATATATAAAACTAAATCTCACAATATATTTTAATATATTTTGTGTATTTTATGAGGAGTAGAGAGATGGGAAAGCAACTTGGTATTGGACACTTTCATATGAGGGATTTTTTTTGCAAACACCAAAGACTCTACATGCTGTACTATTTTATGTAAATATGTACCTTTTCTATGGCTATTGCAAAAATTCTAAATACCTAATCATTGCTTATCTTCGATGCTTTGTAAGACTGATTTACCTCCTGAAAAGATGATTCAAGATCATAAATAAAAGGAAGAAAATGTCATTTTCCTTAACCTTTATGTGATTTTCCTGGGTTCTGCAGCCCCCGCTGTTTGACTTACTATTCATTCAGGCAAACTTTTCAGAAAAGGCTATGGGAAATCCAGCAGGGCCTAAATGGCCTATTCTTATGCAATTTACTTGCCCATGATACAGAAAAGCACATCAACAAAAATGCATTCATATTGATGGAAGTTCAAAACTACGTTAAAAGAAAGTTCCTTAGAGAACAAGATGCTAGCTCTTTTTAATTTTTTATCGTTAATTTATATTCTCCATCCAAATTCTCTCTGGAATGGACATAGATTTTTAAAGTAGGTTTGTTTATTGTTTATCAGTAAAACAAGTTTGTTTTAAAAACAATGACAAAAACAAAAGTATAAAACTAAAAATTAAACACCACACTCATTCTCTTCCAATCTCTCTCAATTTCTACCTTTCTTACACACACACACATGCTTGGTCTTAGAGATTGTTTTCTATATTTTATTACTAAAATTAAAAATGCTTATATATTATATGTGTATTGAAACATCACCATGTGCCCCATGAATATGTACAATATTTGTCAATTTAAAAAATAAAATAAATTAAATGCTGCCATTAATATCTTTGCATATATATTTTATACACGTGTATATATTTACAAGGTGACTTGTTAGAATTAAAATTGTTGTATCACAAAATGATACACATTTTAAATTTTGATAGTTATTGCCATAATGCCCTGCAAAAAGTTGTAACTAAATTTTTGTTCTGCTAACAGATTCTCCACACACTTGCTAAAATGATTTTTAAAAATTATTTCCCAAAGTGATGTGATTTAAATGGCTTCTGAGCACCTAAGTGTGTCTGTATGTTAATTTGTGATCAGAATCATCATTTCTTCCTATGTGTATCAGGTCCTTGTATTTCCTTTTTTTGTAACTTTTTGGGTCATCTCAATATTTTTTTCTAGGAAGTTCTGGAATGTATACTTACAATTTGTAAGATCTCTTTGTATATTAAGAAGAGTTATTCCTTTACCTCTGATATGATTTTGTGTAAATATTCTCCCAGTTCGTTTTTTATTTTGATTCTATTGATGGTTACCATGCATTTAGTTCTTATATGGTAAAATGTATCAAATGTTCCTTTTTAACAGACAGGTTTTGATCACACTCTCGAGATAATTATGTTTTTAATCTCTATTATTTTGTTCTAATACTTTTATTTTCATGTTTTATATTTAAATATTTAATCCATGTGGAGTTAATTTTAGAATAAGGAATAAAAGTTTACCTTTATTATTTTTCCAAACTCCTATCAGTTAACCAAGCACCATTTATTGAATAACTCTGCTTTTCTTCAGTGTTGTAAAAAATGTTTTTAATGTATTTCAAATTATAATAGGTACTTGAATCAGTTTCTGGACTGTGTAATTTTTTGTGCTAAGATCATACAGTTATAAATATTCTGTCTCTTTCTCTCTTTTTTTAAGAGGCGTCTTGCTCTGTCACCCCAATCTAAAGTACAGTGGCATTACCATAGCTCACTGCAGCCTTGAACTCCTGGGCTCAAGTGATCCTCCTGCTCTACCTCCCAAGTAACTGGGACTGTAGGCACACACCACCACATATGCCTAATTTTTATTTTAAGAGATTAGGGTCTCTCTTTGTTGCCAAGGCTGCTCTTGAACTTCTGGCCTCAAGCAATCACCTCAGCGTTCTGAGTAGCTAGGATTACAGGTGCAAGCCACTGTATTCGGCTCCTACTGTGTCTTAATACTGTCTTAAAATTGTTTACCTCTTCCACTATCATTATTCTTCTATTTCAGGTTATTCTAGGCTATTACTTGTTTGCTTTTCCAGATGAATTTAAAATAAGACAATTAAAATTTCAAACAGACAAACATAAGAGCAACTGAACATCTGTTGGTTTTTTGATAGGACAACATCTGAATTTGCAAATTTAACTTAGGGACAGCTGACATCTTTCAACTGCTGAGTCTTCCTATTCAAAAGTACGCAATATCGTTCCACATTTTTGTTAATTTTTTCATTATACTACCACAGGGTTTTCTATTATATTATTACTATTATTTTAAAATACCAGTTCTTGATTTCATTTGTCAGTGCTACTGTTTATCTAATTTTTATATTTCTGTTTTAATCATTTCCTTTTTTACTGCATGCGAAAGGTTTTATTTAACTCCTTAGCTAATGAGGAAACCAGGAAGATCCAGTTGAAGGTGAGAATTCGAAGAATTAACATATATAGGCAAAGGAAAACTGATATAAATTTATAAATACCTTACCAGCAAAACTGATCAATAATCATCGGGCAATAATCAACTACATCTCCACCAGATGCACTTTATTTGCATCTCTAAAGATAAGTATCATTTGTGTTAATATCAGTTTTCTGCAACTTACAGAGCTATAAAACAGCTAAAGACCATGAAAGGCACAGGCCCCAACAGAATCAGATAAACTGCAGAGTGCACTAGAAAAGACACCCAACATCATCTCTTTTTCTTTCCATTTCAAAGTCGTATACAAATTTTTCTAACAGAAATATGGGGTTATTTTCTAAGGTAATATATTTAAAATAGTCATCGCAGTTCTTGGCACATCGTGGTTGATGCTAAAAAATCCTCTTCCCTGTCTTTCAGTATAATGATGTCACAGGAAGAGAGATGTCTTTCATGCAAATGAGTTGGAAAAGTGTGTAAAATAGGCTGTAGGGCTCAGAGGTGAGAATATTCACAGCTGGCAGGGAAGGTCTTCCTGGTAAAAGGGATCTGGTCACCTCAATCCTATCTCTTTTGCTTGCAACACTTATCCCAGAGAAAATCATGAAGTTCCAATACCCATACCAACATTTCTCTGTCATTTTACAGCATATACATCATGACCACTTTGGTATCTCTTTTGATACTTGAGACTCAGTACTGTAATTACTCCCATTTTTTGAAAGACGATTTTTTAGAGCAGTTTTAGGTTCACAGCAAAATTGAACAGAAGGTACAGAGATTTCCCATATACTTTCATCCTCACGTATGTGTAGCCTCCTCCTTTGTCAACATCTCTCACCAGAGTGTTACATTTGTTACAATTGGTGAACCTACATTACCAAATCCTAATCCCCCAAAGTCCATAGTTTACATTAGGGTTCACTCTTAGATGTGGTACATTGTATACGTTTGGGCAAAGTTATAATGACATGTATCCACCATTATACAGAGAGTAGTTTCACTGCCCTAAAAATCCTCTGTGCTCTGCCTATTCATCCCCTCCCCCACCACACACCCTCTCACCCCGGGAAACCACCCATCACTATCTTGTTTTAGCTTTGTTTTTTCCAGAATGTCATATCATTGGAATCAAATAGTATGTAGCCTTTGCAGATTGCCTTTTTTCACTTGGTAATATGCATTTAAGTTTTCTCCATGTCTTTTTAGGGCTTGATAGCTCTTTTTATAAGTGCTGAATAATATCCCATTATACCACAGTTTATTTATCCACTCACTTATTAAAGGACATTTTTGGCAATTATGAATACATCTGCAATACACATCCACGTGCAGGTTTTTGTGTGAACATAAGTTTTCAACTCATTTGGGTAAATATCATATAGTGTGATTGCTAGATCGCATGGTAAGAGTATGTTTAGTACTGTAAGAAACTGCCAAACTGTCTTCCAAAGTGGCTGTTCCATTTTGCATTCCCACCAGCAATGAATGAGAGTTCCTGTTACTCCACATCCTCACCGGTATCTAGTGTTGTCAGTGTTGTGGATTTTGGCCATTTTAATAGGTGTGTGGTGATATATCACATTGCTGTCTTTATTTGCTTCTCCCTGATAACATTTGCTGTGGAGCATCTTTTCATATACTAATTTGCAGTCTGTATATCTTATTTGGTGAGGTGTTTGTTCAGGTGTTTGGCCCCTATTTTAATTGTGTCGTTTGTTTTCTTCTTGAGTTTTAATATTTCTTTATATACTTTGGATAGCCATTCTTTGTCAATTATGTCCATTGCAAATATTCTTCCAGTCTTTGATTTGTCCTTTCATTCTCTTGACAGTGTCTTTTGCAAAATTTTGCAGACATTTTTAATTATAATAAAGTCCAGCTTGTCAATTGTTCCTTTCGTGGTTCATACCTTTGGTGTTGTTTCTAAAAAGTCATCACCAAATGCTAGGTCATTTGGATTTCTCCTATTTTATCTGCTAGGAGCTTTAGTTTTGCATTTTACATTCACAAAATAGTCTATGATCCATTTTGAGTTAATATTTGTGAAGGGTAAGGTCTGTGTCTAGATTCAATTATTTTATGGATATCTAGTTGTTCCAGCACAATTTGTTGAAAAGATGATCTTTTCACCATGGTATTGACTTTGTTCCTTTGTCAAAGATCATTGGACTACATTTAAGTGGGTCTATTTGGGGGCTCTCTATTCTGTCCCATTGATCTATTTGCTTACTATTTTGCCAGTACCACACTGTCTTGATTACTATAGCTTTCTAGTAAGTCTTGATGTAAGGTAGTGTCAGTCCTCCAACTTTGTTCTTTCCTTCTTTATTGCATTGACTATTCTGGGTCTTTTGCTTCTCCATATAAACTTTAGAATCCATTTGTCAGTATCCACAAAATAAATTGCTGGGATTTGGGCTGGGACTGCATTGAATCTATAGATCAAGTTAAGAACTGACACCTTAATATTATTGATCTTCCTACTGATGAACATGGAATATCTCTTATTTATTTGATTTTTATTTCTTCAGAGTTTTGTAGTTTTCCTCATATAGATTTTATACATATTTTGTTATATTTATAGCTAAGTATTTCACTTTCTGGGGCATGGGGGAAGGTGCTAATATAAATTTTATTGTTTTATAATTTCAAATTCCACTTGTTTATTGCTGGTATATAGGAAAGTGATTGACTTTTGAATATTGATTTTTATATCCTGCAACCTTGCTATAATCACTTATTAATTCCAGGAGTTTGTTTTTGTTGATTCTTTTAGATTTTCTGCATAGGTGATCATATCATTTGCAAACAAAGACAGTTTTATTTCTTCCTTCCTAATCAGCATACTATTTATTTCCTTGTCTTGTGTTATTTCATTAGCTAGACCTTCCCACAGGTCTAGCTTTGTTGAAAAGCAGTGCTGAAAAATGATATCTTTGTTCCTGATCTCAGCAGAAAAATTTGTTTCTCTTGACTATTATGTGAGCTGTAGGGTTTCATGAATATTCTTTATCAAGTTTATGAAGCTCCCCTTGATTCCTAGCTTACTGAGAGTTTTTATCATGAATGGGTTTTGGATTTTGTCAAATTCTTTCATCTATTGATATGATTTTGTGATTTTTCTCTTTTAGCCTGTCAATGTGATAGATTACATTAATTGATTTTCATGGGTTGAACCAGCCTTGCATATCTGGAATAAATCCCACTTAGTTGTGGTATGTAATTCTTTTTATACATTGTTGGATTCAATTTGTTAACATTGTGTTGAGGATTATTGCATCTATGTTCATGAGAGATATTGACCTGTAATTTTCTGTTCTTGTAATTTCTTCTTCAGATTTTGGTATTAGGGTAATGCTGGGCTCATAGAATGAGTTAAGAACTATTCCTCCTGCTTCTATATTCTAAAAGAGATTGTAGAGAATTGGTATGATTTCTACCTTAAATGTTTGGTAAAATTCACGAGTGTTTTCTCTTAGGCCTGGTGCTTTCTGTTTTGGAAAGTTATTATTTATTAATTCAATTTCTTTAATATATATACAGGCCTATTCAGGCCTATTAAATACATATATAACATTCAAATATATCAAATAGATATTCAAATATTCATATCTATTTCTTCTTGTGTGAGTTGTGGCAGATTATATCTTTCAGGGAATTAGCTATTTCATCTAGGTTATCAAATTTGTGGTCATAAGAGTTGTTCATATTATATTCCTTGGTATCCTTGTAATGTCTATAGGCTCTGGAATTATGTCTTCTCTTTTATTTTTAATATTGTGTCCTCTTTTTCATAATTAACATGGCTAGCCACCTATCAATATTATTGATCTTTCAAAGAACCAACTTTTTCATTGATTTTCTCTATTGGTCTTGGGACTTCTTTTTTTATTTTTCATCTACCTGGGTTAAGTACTTAATTCAATATTCCATATTTTAGTAAATGTGAGTACTTAGAGCTATTAATTTTTCTACAAATATAGTTTTAGACAAGTTATTAGTTTTGGTGTATAGAGTTTGTTTTCATTTTCTAGATAGTCTGCATTATTAGTTTTAATATCCTGCTTTACACAGGAATAATTAAGATAGCATTTAAAAAATTCCAGGTGGCTGGAGATTTTAAATTTTTACTTTTGTAATTTCTATTTTTCATATAATTAATATATTTTTATTTATTTAAATGTATTGAAACAGCTTTTGTGCACTAAGATAAATTTCTACAAATGTTTAATGGAAGCTTAGAAGTAAGGTTATATTAAGTGTTCTTAGATTATTAAACTTAGGACATATCTTTTAACTTTGTTCATTGTCTTTTTCACATGCTTTAAACCAAACTTTTTTCAATTTCATCTGTCAGTTAATATTTCCTGAATTTTTAAATTTGCTTTTGTATTCCCTGTAGGTTTGCTTCTTGAATTTTTATATTGTATTACTTAGTCTAGAAAGATTAATCCCAATTAGATCTTCAATACAGAGGCTAAATTATGCTACATTATCAAGTAATCCCAGAATCACAGCAGTTTACTCAAAAAGTCCATGTGTTCCTTAGGTTACATGTCCTTTGAGGTTTAGTTACACCTTGTTCCACATCTTCATTCTGGGACCAATGTTGAGGGAGCAACTTTCATTTGACACATTCTATTCTTAAGGTAGAGGGAAAAGAGAGAAGGCAGAACCATGTGATAATGCTTGAAATGTCTGTTCTAAAGAGGCACCATTATTTCCACTCATTTTTCTTTCACGGATCAATGCAAGTGTGGTTGTCAACCCTGACATCAGTGGGGTAAAACATATATTTATTCTGCAGGGACAGGTGAGTAGAGAGGTACCTGGTGGGAAACAGTCCAATAAAGAGGCACAACAACTGTTTTGCCTTTAATACATAATTAAAAGGACAAAAACAGCTGTCTTTTTTAGCAGATGTGAGCTCCCTCTAGAGACTCCTAGAAAAAGTGTGTCAGTGAATTTTAAAAGATCAGGACGAGCATTTCTCTGGAATACCATCCATCAGAGCCAAAGAGATCCTGTTTATATGATTGGCCTAGGGGAATGCTGAATATACTGAGCTAAGTCCATGTGAAGACTGTGTCCATCTTCCCTACTTTCATAAAGGATGACTTATTCTTAGGGTGACTATATTCTTTATCACATGGACTGGGATACTCTTGAGAACAAAGGGGAGTACTCTTGATAATTATATTGGACCAACAAGTAAGCCTTAGCTGATCAGGACCTATAGTCACTCTACTTATATGTCAATACCATAGATTGTAATAATTTTTTTATATTTTAATGTATTGATTCCCAGGCATGGGGTACCTTCATCGGACTCATCAAAATTCTAGAGAGCTGTTACAAGTACAGCTTCCATGGACCTTATCTATAGAATTAAAATCTCCAGGAATATTTGTGGCAGAGTGCATTAACATCAAAGCATTCAATGTTCCTCCATACCAATCACCTCCACTTCTGGCCACTCCTGCAGGAATTTTGTCCTTCCTACCCCACTATGAAGTTTAGCCATATGACTTGCTTTGATTGATGGAACGTAAATAGAGTGAAGTCTAGTCATAGCATAAACTATACGAGCCATTATGGGTTCCCCTTGTCTCTGTTTTCCCTCCACCAGGAAGATCAGCAATGTTTTTGATAAGGGCTACTCCTTTAGCCTTGGTCCTTGGGGCTCAGAAAATGATACCCCAAAATGAAGGACTCAGAGGCAAAGTTTCTTTCTCATCCTCCCCTGCCTTTCCATCTCTCACCCTTCCTTCTCCCCTGAGGCAAGCCACGGAAACTAGAATTCCTCTTCACCAAGACAGGTCATAGAAACCAGAACCCCTTTTCCCCAAAGCCAGCCATAAAAATTGGAGTAAAGGTTTCAGTAAAAATATTACTCCAACCTTTCCCAACCTTTCTGTGTAAAAGCTGGCCATAAAGAAATTAAATCCCTTATTCCTGAGGGGTCCCACCCCATACCAGGAAGGAAGAAATGCTGCACAAAGAGACCAAGAAGAATCTAAACAGGCGGGCCTTGCCGAATTTCCCCACTTTGTCTCTTCACGTTAGATTGTACCCCTGTGTTCAGTCGCATTTCTACACAACTGTCCATACTTCTTTGAAACTAAGCATAAAAATAGATAGTTTTCCCTGTATCTTTGGGTCTTCATTCTGAAGGCTCCTGTGTCAATGCAAAGCTATACTCCAATAAATTTGTCATGCTTTTTTTTGTTAACCTGCCTTTTGTTACAGAGGTGTTCGCCGTGACCGTTACAATGAAGAGGAAAGAGATCATCCCCTTTCTACTCCTACATCCCCAAGTGAAGAGGACATGGAGTACAGCCACAGCCACACTTAAAGGGCATGTAACATGAACAAAAATAAATGTTTGTTGTAAGCAATTACAATTCATGATGCATTTATTTCTATATAATAACCTGGTAGGATATGTCTGTATGTGATTTGAAAATCCTAAGCAGATTAATTTTTATGATTGATTTATTTTATTCAATACTTAATTCATTTTTTAACCTAAGTATCTTATGCAGGACATAGTATAGATTATATGTTCAATAAATAGTTATGGAATGTTTTCTTTTATCTGATTAGTCATATTTATAGTAGATTCACTATTCACTATTTAGATTCACTATTTATCAATAACCTGCACTCAATAGTTTTGGTGCATTCTTCTAATTCTGTTTATTTGTTTCCTGATAATAGAAGTATCACATGCATTCTATAGATAATTTGAAAGTATAAATGAGTATTAAAAAGAAAGCAACCACATATCATCCCCCAAACTGAGATTATCATTATTAACATTTTAGTTTATTTTCAAGCATTTCCTAAGTATATTTTAGTTATTTAATCATATTATACAGTATTCAATATATCTTTTATTTTTATAGAAGTATTTTCTGTATTATAAAACATGCTACAAAATGTTTTGATGGATATACAGCATTTCAATATATCAAAGTCATAATTGCCCTAATCCTTTCTGATATCATTTGCATCTGTGTCCCCAGCAAATCTTACACTCAATTGTAATCCCCCATGTTGGAGGGGGACCTGGTAGGAGGGGATTGGATCATGGGGGCAGAGTTCTAGTGAATGACTTAGCACCATCCCTGCTTGGTACTACATACAATATCATTCTATCACTTTTAAAGTGTGCTGTGAGACCTCACACTTTTAAAAGTTGTTTAAAAGTATGTAGCACCTCCCACTTCTCTCTCTTGCTCCTGCTCCAGCCATGTCAGATGGGTCTGCTTCCACTTCGCCTTTGGCCATCAGTAAAAGCTCCCTGAGGCTCCCCAGAAGCAGATGCTGCTGTGGTTCTTGTACAGCCTGCAGAACCATGAACCAAGTAAACCTTTCTTCTTTATGAATTACCCAGTCTCAGGTATTTCTTTTTTTCTTCTGCACAAATTAACCTTAGCAGCTTAAGGTGTTTATTTATAGCAATGTGAGAGCAGAGTAACGCACTTTCCCAATCATAAGACACTTAGATTGTTTCCAATCATCACGATCTATAATGCTGTCATGAGTACCTTTGTACTAAATCTTGTAAGCATCTCTAATTCTTTTCTTATATTAGAGTTTTGGAAGATGAACTACAGAGTCAAAGAATACAAACAATTTTAAGACTTTTAATATGTATTGTCGAGTTGATTTACGGTTAAGTTTTACCAACTTAAACACCCACAAGCACTTGCTTCACTGCACGGTCATCAGCATTGTAGCTGGTAATTATTTTAATCTTTCCAGTTGGAAAAGCAAAACTAATCTCATTGCTGTAATTTCCATGTCTAATGAGATTCAACATTTTCTTATGCTTATTAGCCATTTTCTGTTCATATGCTTCACGTTGCCATAATCTTAATATAATTTGTTCATAAGGAGTTTTAGTCAAAGCTCCTACCAACTTACCAATGAACTTTCAAAACGTATCTCATTTGAAAGTTAGAAGCTAATTATACTAGTTATATGTTGGGATGAAAGTAGAGAAGCCTAGTACCAAATCTGCTGTCAGAACCTTATACAAAGTTGGAAGTGTTCTGTACCATCAAATATGGTAGTCCCTAGCCACACGTGACTATTGAGCACTGAAATTGTGGCCACTGTGACTGAGGAACTGAATTTTTAAATTTTATTCCATTTTAGTTCATATAAACTTTATTTTTCAGAGCCATGTGTGGCCAGTGGTTACCATATTAGACAGCACAGCTCCAAGCAATTTATCTATTTCAGGAAATGGGAGAGCCTGGGCTTCATTCCTGGCCTACTAAATCCATAAGCAAGAGGAAAAAACAACACAATCAAGGGACAAACTACATCGTGTGAGGCCAGCTCAGGGTACGTATAGGATATACTCAACATGTCTTTGTTATTTTTTAATTGCTGTGACCATATCAACCTGGCACATTCACTATAACAGTAATGAACATTTTGAATGCTTACAATTGTGCCAGGGTGTGTCTCAAATGCTTTTCTCTTATTAATACAATCTTCACAATAAGCCTATGACATAGCTACTTTCATTTTCTCCATTTTACAGATTAAAAGTTGAGGCACAAAAAGGTAAGTTGCCTAGGCACATATAGCTAATAAAGCCCGGAGCCAGCTAGTCTGGCTCCAAAATCTATGCTCTTACCCATGTATTGCTCTTGGCATATAGGCATTATGGATACATAATATCTATTGTACTTAATAAAATCAAATATGCTATTGCCCAAAATGCCTTTAATAAAGGGCAAACCAACTCTGTCTCTCCAAAAAATTTTTAAAATTAGCCTGGCATGATGGCACACACCTATAGTCTCAGCTACTCAGGAGGCTGAGACAGGAGGATCGCATGAGCCCAGGAGGTCAAGGCTACAGTAAGTCATGACTGTGCCACTGCACTCTAGCCTAGGGGACAGAGCCAGACCCTGTCTCAAAAAAACAAAAAAAGAGAAAGAAAGTCAACCCACACATGAATAGAACTAGCAATTAGATCATTCGCTACAGCATTTTTCTTCACAGAACATAAGTCTAAAAGACTGACTGACAGCTTTTTACAAAGAATTGCCTTTAACTTCTACTGGGTGAGGCAAATAGCAGCAGTGCTTTGTGGTATCTGTCCTGCTCAAGCAGTTTTTCTCTGCAGGATTTATGAAAGTTGTGTTTGATAAATATTTCAAAGCTTTGCTCTCAGGGGATTGTTTTATTAAGGCTATGTCACTTTCTCATGTGAAATGTGTGTTTAGTGATTAGAATATATTGACTGACCCTTTTACTCTATAGTTTTCCAAAGCACAAAACTAATCTGCACAAACTTGACTCAACATGAAGCCAATCACAAGGCAAATCAAAAGTTCTCAAATGGGGATCAAACTTCTTTGGAGTAGAAAAAATATTTGAAAAGAGAACTGTTTCTTTAATATATAATTCCAAAAGCAGTACTGCTAACATTTTAAACACTTAAAAGATTTACAAAAAGAAAAAGAAAAATTAAGTGTCGGGGAAATCGATTAATAGCACTTATTTGCAGACACCTTGTTTCACTGTAAGTACATCTTCCTTTAGCAGTAGGGCTGCCTACGCTGCATGTTCTGCGTTCATCTGTATTAGGCAAAAACCTTGAACTACTGCATGTTGTGGTGATGTTTCAAACTCCTAAGGAACTAACTAGTGAGAAAGCAAATGATCCTTGGACTCAATTTAGAATGTTGCTTTGATGATGTACTAAATCTTACTGTTCTCTGTCTTTGACATGAAAAAGTTACAGCTGAGGATTTGGTTGAACTCTGGAAGCATCATTATTAGAACTAATACAAGGCACCGTGCAGACAGTCATGTTCAAGATCTTGAACACTACTATAATTTGCAGTGTAGTTAATGAGAAGAACACAGGGTTCGGTGTCAGAGAAACAAAAGCTAAAGTCCCAATCCTCTCACCTATTAGTAGTGTGGCACTAGATAATTTAATTAACCTCTTTCAGCCTTGGGTTCTTCATCTATTATGAAGATGTAGTATTTGCCAGACAGCTGAAAAGAGCACAAAGGAGAATGGGAAAGTTTCAGAGACTTTTCATATAAACAGGCAGAAGATGAGTACTTAAGCTGGGATCCCAGAAGACAAAAGGCCAGATCCCAAATTGGGTTAACTGCATTGCAGGAACAAAGCAAAAGCAATGGCTGGAATGATAAAAATAATGTCAGATGCATGTTAAAGTTGCAATAGAAGAAAGACAATGTGCTTGTCAGTACTCAAAACAATTTTTCAGACAGCCTTGTGCCATATTCCATATCCAGGATTCTTTAAAGGGTCTGAGAACCATTTCTGACACTTTGAAACAGTTTTTACAAAGTAAAATGAAAATGAAAAATACCAACCCTGCCTAGCACCCAGGGTTATTTGGAGTAACAAGGGAAATAATGCAAATGAAAGCATTATTATGTAAATTAACGTGCTGTACCATCCATCGAGCACTCATTAGGATGTGCTCACTGCTCTAATCAAGTATACTTAGGAGAAAGGCCTTACTTACTTCATTATCCTAGAAAATATAAACGTAAGTAGCACAACTTAATGGTTATTCTAAGCAACATTCTATCTTTGCTGCATGTATTAGGATTAAGCATGAAGCCGTAGCATCTGTGTGTGTATTGTTTAGGATTTTTTATATTTTCTCTGATGAATATTCATTTCGATTTGTTCATAATATATAGTAACTGAGCTTTTCATACACTCAATAAGGATTAATAATATATGACAAAGTTGGCCACATTGAATAATACTTTGTAGCGACATAAAGCTGTTTCCTACTTCTGGATACCTCAGTACCATTTATGGAAGGGTGCACCGTGTAGTGACTGAAAGAATAAGCTCTCATATTTTATAGACATTGGTTAAACTCCAGCTCTGCCACTTGTTATCTGGGTGGACTTTGCCATATTATATTTCGGAGTTTCAGTATCTTCTTTGACTGTAAAATGGAGAAAATCATACCTATAGAAGTTCAAAGAAAGAGTGAAATAAGACAAAGGAGGTCGTCACCAGGTCAATCCTCACCAGCTTCCCCCTTAGGTATCCACAAGTGGCTTTAACCTCAATGATTCTGCAATACTCAAGTTCTGACCTTCAGTCCTGAAAGCTCAGAAAGGAAAAATCGCCGGGGCCCCAGAGTAGACTGGCCTCAGCAATCCTGAATCAAGCTATCAAAACACAGTAGATAAGTATACATTGTTGTACATTAAGGTTTTTTCCTCTAACTTTTAAAATTAATCTTTTCCAGCTTTATTGATATATCATTGACAAATAAAAATTATATATTTAAGATATATAAAGTACTATTTTGATATATGTATACATTGTGAAATGATTACTGCCATCAAGCTAATTAATAGGCAAAACTCTTTAAATACAGCATGTTTTAATGATGTTTCATACTCCTGAGGAACTAACTAGTGAGAATGCAAATGATCCTTGGACTCAATTTAGAATGTTGCTTTGACAGTTTACTAAATCTTAC
Source organism: Homo sapiens (assembly GCF_000001405.40). Taxonomy (NCBI): domain Eukaryota; kingdom Metazoa; phylum Chordata; class Mammalia; order Primates; family Hominidae; genus Homo; species Homo sapiens. Next base: position 158,275,335 of record NC_000004.12, read on the forward strand.
TATTCTCTGTCTTTGACATGAAAAAGTTACAGCTGAGGATCTGGTTGAACACTGGAAGCATCATAATACAAGGCATTGTGCAGTCATGTTCAAGACCTTGAACATAACTGTAATTTGCAACGTACTTAATGTCATTAATCAAAAGTAATGGCAAAACCACAACTACTTTTGCACCAACCTAATAACATATGCGTCACCTCACATTGTTACCGTGTGTGTGTGTGTGTGTGTGTGTGTGGTGAGAACATTTAATATCTACTCTCTTATCAAATTTCAAGTATGTAATACAGTATTATTAACTACAGTCACCATGCTACACATTAATTTTAAGGAGAGCTTTCTGTCATGTGAACTTGTCTGCTGCAGTCTCTCCCTGAAGGTGAGCTACATGGAAAGCCAAATGAACAGAAAGGTTCTTGCTGAGTGAGGAATTTGAACAAGGAAAGTTGGTTATTTATTTAGGTGTATAACATAACTCTAGCTTTCTCCACATAGCTACATTTGTCATATGGACATAATACTCTGGCCAGTCTGGAGGGCTCCTGCTTAAGAGTATTAGATGGTCATTCTTGATATTTGCCTCCATGTTTTGTCTTTCTCTAAGCCCCTACTTTTATGAGCTTCCCTATTTATGGACAGAATATTTGAAGAAAGGCATATAACTCTCTTTTTTTTTTTGAACATCAAGAACATCCCTTTTATTTATGCCTATTTAGGAAATGATTACAGTTTTAATTAACAGTAGTTTGAAATTCCTCAGCTTTTCTTTTTTTAATTTTTTTAATTATTATTATTATTATTTAAATTATACTCTAAGTTCTAGGGTACATGTGCACAACGTGCAGGTTTGTTATATATGTATACGTGTGCCATGTTGGTGTGCTGCACCCATTAACTCATCATTTACATTAGGTATTTCTCCTTAATGCTATCCCTCCCCCTTCCCCCCACCCCACAACAGGCCCCTGTGTGTGATATTCCTCACCCTGTGTCCAAGTGATCTCATTGTTCAATTCCCACCTATGAGTGAGAACATGCGGTGTTTGGTTTTCTGTCCTTGAGATAGTTTGCTCAGAATAAAGGCATATAACTTTCAATTATTTTACAACCAAGTCTTGTAGCCCTATTCTTTTTAGGATAATTTTTTCAATTGTGTTGTGTAGCTCTCAAAAGGCAGACTTATCTCTCTCCCTTTGTGGTTTTTGGTGCACTCTTTGATGACATGGTCAAGAATTTATAAAAATGTCTACTTCACATTACCTGGCTGTTAGTAATTATTCAGTAAATGTTAGTTCATTAATTTTATTTTCCCTTGCCATGAATTTATCTTTGGCTATATCCCTACTCTACCCTCAAAGAAATAAAAGTCAAATTTTGTCTACCATCTCATGATAGTCTTCCTACTGATGTCAGTTACTACTAAAACTGTCCATTTCTCTGCAGCTGCTACTACTCTGTCATCCTAAGAGAAGAATCTCTGAAATTTTGACAGCATGTGGAAATATTCCCACTGATTATTGGATTATGAAGATGGAGAAGAGTATTTTAAAGGAGTTTTGTAGGAGCTGCAGGAGAGGATTCAGGTATATTTATATTCATAGTATATGTGTAATGCTTTGTTCCTGCTCCTTCATTACTTCTATTAAGAAGAGACAAGGAGAGAGACATGGAAATGACTAAGGCACCAAAGGAAAGGCATTTTTTACATTTCAAAGTCACAGGTAAAAAACATTTATCATTTTCATGTGGAAACATTCTTCCAAGCTGTAACTAATAATGGTCTCTCCTACTATTTCCTCCCACTTCTGCAGCTGCTAAAACACCTTTGCCACCAGCTCCGACAATCAAACCATGCCTTTGGATTTCTTCAGTTTCTAAAGGGGAACATCTTTTTAAAGCCTTTGTTGTATTAATTAAGAATCCAGGGCCAAGCCCGTGGCTCATGCCCATAATCCCAGCACTTTGTGAGGCCAAGGCAGGTAGATCACCTGAGGTCGGGAGTTCGAGACCAGCCTGACCAACATGGAGAAACCCCGTATCTATTAAAAATACAAAATTAGCCAGGCATAGTGGCATATGCCTGTAATCGCAGCTATTCAGGAGGCCGAGGCAGGAGAATCGCTTGAATATGGGAGGTGGAGGCTGTGGTGAGCCGGGATCGTGCCATTGCACTCCAGCCTGGGTGACAAGAGCGAAACTCTGTCACCAAAAAAAAAAAAAAATTCAGTGGCTGGCATAGAGTCAAGAAACTCTATGAACAGAAGATAACTGACTTAGCAGCAGCAGAGTAAGCCTCCAAAAAGAAGCAAGATCTTTGAAAGTGGCTGGGAGAGCTCCCAACTGAATAGGCTTCAGCCTCCCACTGTCAGTACTTAAGGTTCAAATGCCTCAGGCTGCGGGAGGGGACGGGGTGGAGACTGGCCATGTCGGAGGTGACCTGGAGTCTGCTGCAGCTCTGGGGCGCCAGTTTTAGGAGAGGCGCCAACTTCGACTTTTGGGGCCAGCCGGTGGAGGCGATAGATGAGTATCAGATATTAGCAAGACATCTACAAAAAGAGGCCCAAGCTCAACACAATAATTCTGAATTCACAGAAGAACAAAAGAAAACCATAGGCAAAATTGCAACATGCTTAGAATTGTGAAGTGCAGCTTTACAGTCCACACAGTCTCAAGAAGAATTTAAACTGGAGGACCTGAAGAAGCTAGAACCAATCCTAAAGAATATTCTTACATATAATAAAGAATTCCCATTTGATATTCAGCCTGTCCCATTAAGAAGAATTTTGGCACCTGGTAAAGAAGAGAATTTGGAATTTGAAGAAGAAGAAGAGGGTGGTGCTGGAGCAGGATCTCCTGATTCTTTTCCTGCTAGAGTTCCCGATGCTTTAGATACCAGGGTTGCCATTGGAACCAGGAATGACATTACTCACTATCAGAATTGAGAAAATTGGTTTGAAAGATGCTGGGCAGTGCATCGATCCCTATATTACAGTTAGAGTAAAGGATCTGAATGGCATAGACTTAACTCCTGTGCAAGATACTCCTGTGGCTTCAAGAAAAGAAGATACATATGTTCATTTTAATGTGGACATTGAGCTCCAGAAGCATGTTGAAAAATTAATCAAAGGTGCAGCTATCTTCTTTGAATTCAAACACTACAAGCCTAAAAAAAGGTTTACCAGCACCAAGTGTTTTGCTTTCATGGAGATGGATGAAATTAAACCTGGGCCAATTGTAATAGAACTATACAAGAAACCCACTGACTTTAAAAGAAAGAAATTGCAATTGTTGACCAAGAAAACACTTTATCTTCGTCTACATCAAACTTTGCACAAGGAATGATACTGACATGATGAACCTGGAACTTCTGTGAATTTTACCAGTCAGTAGAAACCATCATAGCTCTGTGTAGCGTATTCACCCTTCAACAGGCAGGAAGCAAGCCGTACCCAGACCAGTAGGCCGGAAGGAGTCCAGTGCAAAGCTGTACCACAGAATTCAGAGTCCAGCACATCACTGACGTATAGGACTCCTTTGGATACAGGTTTATTGTAGATTTGGAAACATGTTTTTACTTTTCTATTAATTGGGCAATTAATAGTCTATTTTCTAATTTACCACTACTCCTACCCTGCTTCCTGGAACAATACTGTTGTGGGTAGGATGTGCTCATCTTCAAACTTAATACAGCAATAAGAATGTCCTAGAGTTTACACATCTGTTCACTTTTGCTCCAATATGCTCTTTTGACTTAACTTCAAGCTTTGGGTTGATGTGGGTAGGGTAGTGTCAAACTGTTTTAAGAGGAATTGGACCAGTTCTGCTGCCTAAGAAGGTCTGTCTGGATGTTTATAGGCAGCTCCTCTGAAGTGGCCTAAATTCACCCTGATCTGATAGTTTTCCTGCCTAGAAAGTGTGCCTTGGCCAGATCAGTATCCCACATGGGAGTGTTCCCTAGGTTGTAGCGTGATTGTTTCCAGATGACCAGATTGTTTTTCTGAAAATGAGCATATTTTTAGTCATGTTGATTAGCTGTTCTTCTACATCACATTGTTACTCTTTCTGATGATGATTCTAGGGTTAACATTGGAACCATCTCAAAATAATTACAAATTTTTAGATGGGTTTACAATGTCTTCTAAACAATATAATCTAAAAATAATTGAGTCAGATGCTAACGAGATACTGAAGGCATAACTGCTGTTTTTCTGGCAACTGATTATGAAACCTTAAAACCTGCATACCTCTTCTTATAGTGAGGAATATTCAAAATCTGGAAAGATATTCTATTTTTTTATATAGGTAGATAGGATCACCATTTATTTCCTATTTAGATATACTGACATTCATCCATATGAAAATATGCAGGTCATTAGCTTACTATAATTTTACTATTTACTTTTGACTTAATGGGGCATAAATAAAACTTTCTTAGTACACATGAGGTGGATATTTGATACACAGAACATTTGTGGTGGGCTTTCTGTGGGTTAGATGTAAAGCCCACGTATTTTAATATTCACTATTTTAAATGAGCAATGCATGAGGGGAATGCAGTGTCAGTACCTGGCCTATTTTTAAACTAGTGTAATCACCCTAGTCATACCATTCAGTATGTTTGCTTTTTAAAATAAGTAACCACAATTAAGTTGTTGTAGCCCTTGCACTTCAAGAGATTTAGTCCTTCCTTTCAGTTGTCTGTTAGGTCCATTCTGTTTACTAGACGGATGTTAATAAAAACTATGTGAGCCTGAACGTATTCTCGGCCAAATTTAGTCTTGTCTCTCATCTTGATTGGATTAATTCTAAAGTCTAAAATGATTCAGTCCACAATAGCTCTAGGGGATGAAGAATTTGCCTTACTTTGTTGTTCGCTCAGTTCCTAAGACTGTGAGTTGTCAAATCCCTAGACTGTAAGCTCTTCAAGGAGCAAGAAGCACATTTTCTCCGTGTCATGTAATTTTTCTAAGGTGCTTGGCAGCACTCTGTACCCTGTGGAGTACTCAGTACCTTTTGTTTGATGTTGCTGACAAGACCTAAAAAACAATCCCTTAAAAAAAAAAACCATTAAAAGGTAGCAAAACCGATGTATTATTTTTTCTCTTTTCTCATAAACCGCAAGATATGTATATCAAAGTGATAATTTGTATGAAGCATCTGCTATCCTTCACGTGAGTATGGTTTATATGAACTACAAATACCTTTCATCAACATTAAAGAAGCTTAAATTGAAAAAAAAAAACTTAGGTTGTCTACGATATTAAAATTGCCAATCATGTTTAGGCGTGGGCCACTAAATTCTAATTTTTTCTTTTGCTTCTAATAAATATGGGCAGTGTCTACAAGCGTTATTGTTCCATCCTGACTTTTTGCACAAAAAGTCTTGACTTGTCTACTAAGGTATCAAGATATTCAAGATTTTTCTGGACAACACATTCAACACAATGTTCCTTTTTGACATTTTATTATAACTAGCCCAAACAATTAACTTTCTGCAAAAACATCTCTGAAGATAGATATAAACGCCATACATAAGTAGTTCTAATGTTTGAAAACTGTTGGAAGACATGTTGTTATATGAAAAGAAGTGTTTCTTTTCATTTTATTCTCAGTAATTTGAACAATAAGCTAGCAATTTGTCAACATTTAGACAGGCCAGTGGAGCTATCAGTAGTCATTGTGGGAGCGTTTCACAAAAATTAGATTTGGCAATAATTAGGCAGCTGTATGGGATGAGGCTGGGGCAAAGTCAGAGGATAAGCATTCGTCCCCTGGCTAGAAATTAGAGACGTGTACTCGCTTAGTATGTGGGGAGAGGAATAAGACTGAAAGAAATTCTACATTTTAAACTTTAATGTCATTTAAAATACCCTTTTAAATCATGTTGAACTCCTGGATACTAGAGAAATATATTATACCTTTTCATTATTCTAAGACCAAGTTCATTATAAATCATTTGTATTGCTTCAGTAAAAACTTAGGATCTTCAAATATTTTGTCAATAATAGTATGTGCAATTCCTATAGTTTCCCTTTTAAAACATTTCCATCAATTGCTTTATTTCTAAAATTTTTTATTTTATATGACCTAAGTTATTAAGACAAAAGGAGGTATTAAAAAAAAAATCAGAATGTGTGTGACTTATTTGGATTTCCCTCAACATTTAAAAAAAAAAAAGTTTCCATAGCTACCTGAATACTGTGCTCAGTTCGATTTTTTTAAAGGTAGGTACATGGTCTTCAGAGCTTTTATATATTAAATTAGAGTTACACTAAATTAAAATTTTTAAATAACCTATAAATTATTACTTCAATTGCAATCTATCAAGGAGTGTGAAAGCAAAGCTTGAGCTAACTCCCAACCCCTACAATACTTCTTAGGTTCTAGAAAGTTTAAATGATTTAAGTAGAATTCCTTTTTAATTAGTATTCTAAAATCCAAAAAATGGCACTATTGGCAAGTAAGATTATTAAGAATGTCATTAAAATTAATTAGCTATTGATCAGAAGATATGTGAACAGAGAATAGTGGAATGTTCTTCCATTGTTCTTCTCTTCCAAATGGAAGAGAAGAAAAGGTGGAATTGGAAGGTGAAATGTTACACAGTAGGACAACCAGCATCAGAGGAAGCAAAGTGATGTCCTGATTTTGAATTTGGGGGTTACTTTAGACTTCATTCAAAATAAGAGTGAGTAAGTTTCATAAAAAAAGCCACCTCTTCACTTCATCTGTAAATCTATAATGTGAGGAATTGGACTATACTATATTTGTGAGCCTCCCACCAAAATACACCATTATTGATGAATTTTCTTTCACATATATCCATATCATGAAGATTTCATACTGGCCCTGAAGTTCAGAGCTATTATAGCTTTTATGCTGAAATCTGCCAAATAATTTAAAAACATGCTTTAGTCTTAAGTTTATTTAAATGTGTTTAAGTTACAATGATAGAAGAATTATAGAAGATATTCAGCTCCGGGGATAAGAGAAATGTCCCATTAACAGACCTAGCAGGTTTCTGCTTTTAAGAAAGAAGTCCAGTTATCGGGAGAAATTGGTCAGACCCATGTTAGCAGGAAGGCTGATGCAATCATGAGCCACTGTGACACTCCTCTAGGACTCATAGCCCATGATTGTCCCAGAGTTCGTGGCTGGGTTGAAGTCAGGGAGAATCAAGTGGCCTGCACTTAGTTTAGAGTGTCCCTGCAGCAAAAAAAGTCAGGAAGATTTTCACTTTTACTCTGTGTTCTATCAAAGTCAGGAGTTAGCTGACTACATTTGAAAATACATTTTGGGGAAAATTTTACCCTTGCCAAAAATACTCACTGGAAAAGTGAATCTACTTTTCATATGTCTAAACAGATGTCAAAGGTGCCATGAATTATATTAGCATAATTACACTTTTCAAAAATTCCAAGGCATTAGTCTCCCATAGAAACACATCAATGAAAATAGATGCTTGAGCAACAAATATAAATGGAATAAGCAAATCTTACCTGTCAATTATCATTATCAAAGGTATATTTTGATTAAGTCGGTAAATTGTTTTGCATTTATTCATGTAGAATAAATTGGAACTAGCAATGACATTAAAAGCAAAAATTATATATTTAACTATCCTATATCTTTATTTTCTAAATGTACAATGGCCTGAATTTTTTGGGAAAAAAAAGGTACTGTTTTCCCCCTCGATAAGTTAGCCATGATACACACACAAAAAAAATGAGTATTATTAAGCTAATCAGAATGTATAAGACTTTTAAATATAAAATATTCTTATTTTACCAATTATTTTAAATTTTAATAATTACATAGAATATTTTTAAAGTTTTTCTTAGAGGTTGTCTCTCATTAAGAAATGTGCAAGCAGAGTAAATGTGAGATCAATCATGTACAGCAATGCTAAAATAAATGTAAGATTTTTGAATGGATGACTGATTAATAACCACAAAACAATTTCTAAATATGATTATCCACTAAAAAGGAACCAAGTATTATTAAGAAACGGCCAATCCAGAGTTGGGGCAGGAAAAGTACAAGATTAGCCTTGGCCAACTTGTGCCAAGAAATAAGGAAATTCTCAGGAATGATGGGGACCTGTGAAAAGGATCCAGAAGACAGTTTGGAGAGAGTTTAACTGGAAAAATTAAGCCAATTTGAGAATCAAATTAAATAAGAACATAAATGAATCAGAACTCATCAAATAAAATAAAAATCTATGAATCCATACTGATATAAATAATAAAGAAAAAATGCTTTATCTTAGAGCTCTACTAACAAATATAGAAAGAATGATAAAATTAGAATTACCCAAATTAACAAATTGCCATTGGGCAATTTTCATAGTAATAATTGATTCAGATGAGAAACACCAATATGTGAAAGTTTAATGAGAACAGAATATTGTATATTACTGTCTGGGCACAGTGGTTCACGTCTGTAATCCCAGCACTTTGGGAGGCTGAGACGCACAGATCACCTGAGGTCAGGAGTTTGAGACCAACCTGGCTGACATGGTGAAACCCTGTCTCTACTAAAAATACAAAAAATTAGCCAGGCATGGTGGCGGGCACCTGTAATCCCAGCTACTTGGGAGGCTGAGGCAGGAGAATCGCTTGAACCCAGGAGGCAGAGATTACAGTGAGCCAAGACCATGCCCCTGCACTCCAGCCTGGGTGACAAGAGCAAGACTACGTCTCAAAAACAAAAACAAAAAAAGAATATTGTATATTACTGGGAGTATGCATGTAAATATGACATAATATTAATAACTGAGGCATTTGGGTAAAGGGCATACAGATTTCTATGTACCCTCCTAACTATTTTTGGAAATGTAACGGTATATCAAAATTTTACTTACCCCAAAATCTACCACTTCAGACCCATACAGCCTCCTAAAGAGTATTTTTATTTATTAACTATGTTTTATTCTTAAATCTATTCTTTCATTCAGAATTTATATAGACTTCCTGTGGGTATATTTGAAATACAAGGGGAAACATATTTTTAAATAGTTCCAAATATTGGGTAAAGATGAAAAATAATAAATACAGTCAAATGCTGTATTTTAGTCAATGAAGTTTTAGTCAATGAAGACTTCACATAATCAACTTCACATAATGAAGGTTTAGTCAATGATGGGCCACATATACAACACTAGTCCCATAAAATTAGAATACCATATTTTTAATGTACCTTTTCTATGTTTTGATATGTTTAGATATACAAATACTTCCCATTGTGTGACAATTGCCTATAGTATTCAGTACAGTAGCATGCTGTGCAGGTTTATAGCCTACGAACAATAGGCTACCAGGTAGCCTAGGTGTGTAGTACATCTGGGTTTGTGTAAATACGCCCTGTGATGTTGACACAATAACAAAAAACACCTAATGATGCATGTCTCAGAAAGTATCATCCTCATTAAGTGACACATGACCGTTCCAGAGTTTATTTTTCCAAATATTTAACAGTCATTTATTACAAGTTTACTACGTGACAGATACAACTCTACATTTTGGGTTTAAAATGAGATTTGTCAGAAAGAAATGGCCAAATGGTATGAATTTGTGAAGGCAGATGGGACTGCACACTTTCACGCATGGAGAAAGAATCATTCCCTTCTTTGACGCATACCTGTGTGCTCTATCAGTATAAATTACCAGTTTTTTGTTGAACATGTTCAGTGGGCAAAGCCTATTCTTGAGCTCTGAGTGAGAAGGAAATACAAATAACATTTAAGCCCTGTCTTCTAGAAACTCAAATTCAGGGAGAAGATATAAGGAAGGAGAAAAAATAACTAATGATAAAAGAAGACATTTTGGAATGGAGACCAAAAAAGAATATGCAAACATAAGAAATAGACGAATTCTCGCCAACAGATATATTTTTAAGAAAAATGCTCGGCCAGGTGTAGTGGTTCACGCCTGTAATCCCAACACTTTGGGAGGCCGAGGCAGGCAGATCACCTGAGGTCGGGAGTTCAAGACCAGCCTGACCAACATGGAGAAACCCTGCCTCTACAAAAAATACAAAATTAGCCAGGCATGGTGGTGCATGCCTGTAATCCCAGCTACTAGTGAGGCTGAGGCAGGAGAATGGCTTGAAACCAGGAGGTGGAGGTTGCGGTGAGCCAAGATCGCACCATTGCTCTCTAGCCTGGGCAACAAGAGCGAAACTGCCTCAAAAAAAAAAGAAAAAAAAATGCTCAACATCACTAATCATCAGGGAAATGCAAATCAAAACCACAATGACATGTCATCTCACACTTCTTAGATTGGCTACTATTTGGACAAGAGATAACAAGTGTTGGTGAGAGGTAGTGCCAGGTCTATTCATGTGGAGGTGAGACAGCTGCAGAAGAGGCATGAGCAGGAATGATTATTTCAAACTGCTAAGGAGTCAGGTGTGTGGAGAAGAGGCAACTCTTGAACACTGCTAGTGAGAATGTAAACTAGTACAGCCATTACAGAAAACAGTATGGAGGTTCCGTAAAAAATTAAAAATACAATTACCATATGATTCAGCAACCTCATGTCTGGATATATAGCCAAAGGAAAAGAAATTAGTATTTCAAAGAGATAGCTGCACTTTCATGTTCATTGCAGTATTAGTCACAAGCCATGATACAAAAGCAATGTATAAATACTTTCTGAGAAATGCATTGTACGTGATTTTGTCATTGCATGAACATCATAGAGTGTACTTACATTAATTCAGATGGTATGGCCTACTACACACCTAGGCTGCATGGTATAGCCTGTTGTTCCTAAGCTATAAACCGGCACAGCATGCCACTGTGCTGAATACTGTAGGCTATTGTCATCCAATGGGAAGTATTTGTGTATCTCAACATATCAAAACAGAGAAAAGATACCATAAAAATATAATATTCTAATCTTATGGAATCAACATAAGTTCTAGAAATCTAATGTACAGCATGGTGACTATAGTTAATAAAACTTTATTGTATACCCTCAAAATTTGCTAAGAGCATAGATCTTAAATGTTCTCACCTCACATACACAGATAACTATGTGAGATGATGGACATGTTAATTAGTTTAATTGCTGTAATCACTTCACATCATGTTTTGTTTTCCCCCTAACTCCAAGTTTAGAATCACCAGATGAAATTTTGAGACCACAATGACTGAGGCTTGGTGATCATTCTCATAATAAAAAGTAAATTTTATTAGACATGAACTTGGAACATATCTGGAATTCAAAATAATTGTTGCATCAGAGTTAAGGAAATGACATTTTGGTTTATTTTATGTGAACACATGCATTTCTAATCTGTATTAATATAGTATTAACTGCAATGACAACATATCATAAGATTACTTTTTGCCTTGCTTACTAAAATATAAAATGATTTCTGATTTTGGTAGTTATCATTCATAATAATCTTTTATAAGTGACTTTTATTGTATGAAACTTTAAAATATCTAAGAATAGATAATGTGATATAAATATGCAGTAAGTTTCATTAGATTCAGAGTAGTTAGCATTTGAAAACCTCTAATTAGAAGCTCACATTCCAGAGATGTTACTATGAGTGTTTAAGCCTTCTTTCTCTCAAGTAGTAAAAGGTTTGTTATTTAATATAAGGATACAAGACTTTTTTATCCATTGCTTAAGTAAGTGGTGTTTAAGATGTGAGTCAATTAGAAATGTTACACAGGCACCTTAATTATTATAAGAAGAAAAGAGAACTATGGAGGTAGGCTAACAGTCAATACCCTTCAGAGTTATTTTTTAGACCTAAAGATTAAGTCTTTTGCGTAGCCATTTTCAAAAGATTATGTTGCCTGCTCTGACTTAAGTTTGGCTAAATGATGCTGCTGGCATATTGTAACAACTATCTTAAATGAACTTTTCATTTATGGTGCTTGACAGAATGCCTAGAATGACAGTAAGCTGGGACTTCAATGAGATTAAAAGTTCTGTGACATTTTTTGCCTGTTTGGTAATAAATGTTTATATATGTGATATAATATGTAAACCTGAGATAACAGGTGTCGTTATATCTCACCCGTAAGCAAGGTTAGTGGCAACTGTGGGCCACAATGGCCATTAACTGATGGAGGTTACCAATATATATTAAAATAATGTCAAAATTCTGAATGACCAAATTGGCTTAATGCAGTTTGTAATCAAAGCTGCTAGTGAGAAAAGAGATACTCATACCTATGAGACAACGAACAGACAATTGCACAGGCACACACATAGTTCTTAGGGTACGGAGTGGCCTTTTATGCCTTCTATGCATGTGTATGTGATATGTGTCAATCAAAATGTTTAGTTACATTGAATAATTTTATGTGGGATAAGGTCTTATGTTGAATTATCCTATAATGAACATAAACAACTGGAAAGTTTGTGCTTAATTGGTTTCCACTTTTTAATGGCAAAACCAGAGAAGTGAATGTATTACAGTCCCTATCATACTGTATCTTTCATAGCTGGTGGATATTATGAAAATTAAACATGTTTAAAAGTTTGAATATCAGAAGTTTTATAAAATTGAAACATTTTAAGGTCTTCCTTTTGGAATAGTGTGGGCTTTTTTTTTTTTAAGGGAAGTTCATAAATTTTGCCTTTAATCCACAATAGAATTTAAAGAAAGAGGCCGGGCACAGTGGCTTACGCCTGTAATCCCTGAACTTTGGGAGGCCAAGGCAGGTGGATCACCTGAGGTCAGGAGTTCAAGATCAGCCTGGTCAACAGGATGAAACCCTGTCTCTACTAAAAATACAAAAAAATAGCTGGGTGTGGTGGCGGGCACCTGTAATCCCAGCTACTTGGGAGGCTGAGGCAGTAGAATCACTTGAACCCAGGAGGCAGAGGTTGCAGTGAGCTGACATCGTGCCACTGTGCTCCAGCCTGGGCAACAAGAGCAAAATTCTTGTCTCAAAAAAAATAAATAAATAAAAGAGAATTGTATATAGAATTTTAAGAAAAAATTCTGATCTTGTCCCAGAGATTCTGAAAATTTATGGAACACAATTTTTCAAGGAACAGAAACATAAGAAAGGTGGTATAAAGAATATTTCGCTTTTATTTTCCACTGATACAGTGGAAGCAGCAAGAGTTAAGCATTGGGTTTTATCATTTTGGCAGTGATGATGGTGGTGGTAGTGTGATTTGCAGGCAAGGAGGACTCTTACTGATTTTCAGCACAGTATTTACTGTGAAGTAATAGTAAACATTTTGCTAAAGTTTCTCATATTCTATCACATAGCCAAGTTTTCTATTGTTATTACATTTTAAGATAAACATTAAATGATAAAGCACATTTTAACTACTGAGGTCTGTTAAAGTCATTGTACAAACTTGCTACTTTCATTCCCTCCAGGTTTTTTCAGGCTTAGTGGAAAATAGTCTTAATTCAATCAAGAAGGATAAAAATATCAAAACACTGTACCAATTTAGATGTGGATTTACTTAGGTCTCACAAATGTGTTGAAGATGCCTAATTTATTTCCATATGTTGAAATCTTTAAGGTCTAAAATTATATTCAGCTTTTAGAAGAAACTTTGTGCATGATAAACTCTGAAATCTTGTCCACACAGAGAAAGGCACTGGCTTTGAAAACTGATTAAAACACACAGGTCAAACTAGATAACTCAAATAATAATAATTTTGTATTTTTAACATGTTACTGCATTCTTGGCATAAAATGAAATATGTCCCAATCATAAATGATCAAACACATTGATTCAGTTGAGACCAATGTTACTCCTGAACATTTCTCTGTATTAGATAGGAAGAACCAGTGTTGACTACCCACTCCACAAAAGGCACCGTGCTAGCTGTCATGGAATACAGCAACCCTATCCTGCTGTGCATCTCAGGGAGCTAAGTGATGACCTTCGCCCAAGTAGTATTCTCCCTACTGCCCTGATACTGAAGCATCAGGTCATATCATTTCACTCCACTTGTTCATTTCATTACCTTAAAAAAAAAAAAGTAGTATTACATTAATGCAAGACTTAATTTCCTAAGAAAGATACAAGTTCTCCTGAAATTAGTCCAAGAACAAAATTTTCCTAATATTATGAAGGGTCATTTTTTGATTTACTGTTAGGAAGATGCCATGGAAGGATTGGAGATTTATTTGATGCTTTAGTAAAAAAATTCTTTCGAAGAGACTTCATTGATTTTTTTTTAATAGGATACTCAGTCTATTGGAATAGATAGATTTGGCCAAACCAAGGTGATGTCTTAAGTTGGAGACTATCTGTAAAATTTTGGTAGGAATTAAGTAATTTATTTCTTTTAAGATACATGGCATGCATTGCTTAATGACAGCATACACTCTAAGAAATGCGTGGTTAGATGATTTTGTCATTGTAGAAACATCATAAGTTGTACTTTCACAAATGGTATATAGCCTATTGGTCCTAGGCTACAAACCGGTACATCATGTTACTGTACTGAATACTGTAGGCAATTGTAACACAATGGTAAATTTTTGTGTATCTAAACATAGAAAAGATAAAGTAAAAATACAATAATATAATCTTATAGGACCCTCATCATATATGCAGTCTATCATTGATCAAAATGTCCCTCTGTGATGCATAACTGTACATAAAGTCAAATATCTAAGCTCAAGACTATGCAGTCACATTTTTATAATACAATGGATTAGAATGAACAAAGCAATGAATAACCACTGCCATTTCCTAAGATCATAGAAATACAACTTTTTGAGAAAAATTTTAGTTTCTTTGGAAGCAACTAAAACATAACTAGAAAATAGAAACTACTGATAATCTCAGCATTCTTACCATATTTTTACTTTTCCAGTAAATTGACTAGTGTAAATTATAATGGAACTTTTTTTTTTTTTTTTTTTTTTGTGAGATGGAGTCTTGCATTGTCACCCAGGCTGGAGTGCAGTGGCACGATCTTGGCTCACTGCAACCTCCACCTCCCAGGTTCAAGCAATTCTCCTGCCTCAGCCTCCCAAGTAGCTGGGATTACAGACGTGCGCCACCACGCCCAGCTTATTTTTGTATCTTTAGTAGACATGGGGTTTCACCATGTTGGCCAGGCTGGTCTTGAATTCCTGACCTCGTGATCCACCCACCTCGGCCTCCAGAACTCTTTTTTTAAACTTTCAAGTTCAGGAATACAAGTGCAGGCTGGTTACATAGGCAAACTTGTGTCATGAGGGTTTGTTGTACCAATTATTTCATCATCCAGATATTAAGCCTAGTACCCATTAGTTTTTTTTCCTGATCCTCTCCCTCCTCCCATCTTCCACCCTCTGAAAGTCCCCAGTGTATGTTGTTCCCCTCTATTTGTCCGTGAATTTTCATCATATAATGAAACTCTTGATGGTAACCATGATTCCTGTTAAGGTATCATATGCTGAAAATATATAGTTACATATTCAGAGGAAGAAATATAAGTTGGGGAATCTTTTTTTTCCACCTCACTAAAGAATATTCATTTATTTATAATTATTGCTAAGTAAACTTCTCTTTTAAACAGGAACATAAGAACACAGTAGGGCTTTGCACAAATGGACTCTCTGAACAGTTGGTTTGTATACATGTCAAAATAAGTTAGAATGGAATTTGTCCAGGAGTTTCCAAGTCACCCGAGAGGCTGTGCACCTCTTTTGAGAAGGTTAGGGAGGGGTGCAGACAGGAGCCTTGCCGAGACTACCCCCCAGCTCAAACTGTGAGTTGTGCTGTTTCCTCCTCCTAGCTTTGCCCAGGCCCAAGGCACAGGGCAGGGGGCATTCAAGTATCGAACCTTGCAGAGGGCCAGTGACGATGGCAGGGCTGGGGGAGGGAAAGGAGAGCCCCACCCCGGGGGCCAGACCTTCTCCAAGACCAAGGCCACTGCACTGGCAGGAGGGAGGAGGAGGAGGAAGTACAGGGTTCTTTTTGGTACCAAGGGAGAAAGACATTTTGGGAAGACGTAGTTGCAAGGGATGATGCCTTCTGCTCAGCAGGAGAAAATGTCTTGTACAGTGACGGGGTCACTGCCACCTGAGGGTCATCATGACGGGCACCTGGGAGGCCATGGGGCCTCGGGGTCTGGGAGCCACACTTGGGCCACCTTGTCCACCCCTCAGTCCTGATCACAGTCACCCTGAAGCCTGGCTTGGTCCTTCACTTAAGGATTCAGCCTTGAGGGTGGCTGCACTGCAGATCAGTTCCTCCCACCCCAGGCTGTTCCCCTCTCCGGGTTTCTGGGCTGAAACTAGTGGCTCCATCTGTGCCTTTGGGGCCGGCCCCTGCCTGCTCCTCCCCACTGAGGCCTCAGGAGGCAAGTGGGTGGGGGTCTGGGTTCCCTAGAGTTCCTGAGTGTGCTATTTCACTGCCCTGGGCCTGTCCTCTCTGGTTCCAGGGGCAGGAGCTGGTGTGGGAACAGCGGAGAAGAGAGCAGGTGAGCAAGGGAGCGAGCTGTTGGCTAAGCAGTCAGCAGCCCTGGCGGTGGCGGATGGGAAATGGGACGAAGCAAGTCAGCAACTCCAGGGGCCAGGCAGGGGTGGAGGGCTTCCCAGCTCTGCTTTCTCCTGCCTCCCACCCCAGCCTGCTGAGGCTGCTGCCAGCAGCTGCAACTCCAGGGCCAGGGTGACAGTCCCCATGGAGACCCAGTCCTGCCCAGCCAGGCTGCTGAGCGGGGGTGGGTAGGAAGCATGCACAGCACACAAGGAAGCTTAGGCTTGGAAAAAGAAAATATATCTCCATCAGAAAAGGTCATAGGTGACACAGAGTTGGAAAGAAAAAAAATAATAAGTTACCTTCAGAAGACCCACTTTGCTCAAAAAAACCCTTGTTTTCCCTCTGTGTGCTTCACTTTCCTTTTTTAAATACATTGCTCTTTCCGGGGAGCTGCTGACTCATGGCTATCCCTGTTGCAAGGTGGACACTGAGGACTAAGAAATGACTGCAGTCCCCCTCCCCAACAGGTGGTCCTGGGCCTTCCCTGAGGACAGCCCTTCTTGGTCCCCTGTGGTGCCCTAACTCTGCTCTGCCCTGCCCCCTGCTTCTGGTTTTGTTAGTGTGTGCCTGACGCAGGGCCTGTCCCAGCTTTGTTCCTGGTGGGGGCTCCCTGGTGTGGAGCTCCAGCTGGGGCCGAAGTGGATGACATGTGTTGCAACTCACTTTAGGGACACCTAGACAGAAGTTGGGGAATCTTTAAAAACAAATCAACTTAATTGTACTTGGCCTACAATTAAAGGTCAAAAATGAACTGAGTTTATTATATATGCATGGTGATTTATTTAAAAATAATTTTAAAATTACAAATGTATTGTTTCTTATATAGTTTTTCTATATATATATATATATCTATATCTATATATAAAAAGACAAACTTTCACACATATGAATAATAACCACAACAAAATTCTGCCAATCATTTAATTCTTTACTTTGAAGAGTTTTTAAAAATAGAGGCAAGTGGCCAGGCATGTGTAAGAGATCAGTCAGGGTGGTAGGAGAAATTATAAGAAAAAGATGCCAACCTTCTTGGAAGGGTGGGAGGTTTTGCAAAAGCTTGGAAAGAGAATTTGGCTGAAGGCAGCTGAATTCTCTCAAGGTAAATAACAAGGAAGTGTAAGGGAATTGATCTAGATAAGTTAGTTTGCGTAGGCCTCAGAACCTGGCCTTTAATCATCATGCACAGGACTGCTCTCTTGCATGGGGTGGGGTGGGGGAGGGAGCAACCATGTTAATTACTCACAAGTTGTGTTAACTCAAAGCCTTTGTCATTAAATCTGTACTAAATAAATGCCCGCAGTGCTGGCTTGTCAGGGCTGTGGCTGCTGTGACTCTTTATGGCACCCTCCTCAGTGTCTGTGAGCAGCCTGGTCCCCTAGCCGCAGGCCCAGGCAAAAAACCTGTGTTTGCCTACATTTTTTAATCTGTCACTCAGCCAGGGTCTGCGGGGCAGACCTGGCAGGTGATGCCCTGCGTGAGGAATGCTGCAGTGGATTGCGACGGAATCCTCGAAAACAAAGGTGAAGAGACTGCGCAGTCAGTAAGTCACTGGTGCCTGCTTGGGATTTCCAAGTTAGAGGGAATTGTTCAGGCTAGGGTTTCATCATGGGACAGCAGTTATCAGCTCAACAGATAAAAGTATTGAAACAGCTGCTTAAAGCTAGTGGAGCCTCGTTTTTGCAGGCTCAATTGAGTGACCCAATGCAAACTGTTGTTTCCCATAATCCATGGGTCCCAGAAGAAGGCATGCTAGACATAGAGCTCTGGGAACAAGTGGGGAGAAATCTTAAACAACATCATGCACAAGGGCAATGGGTCCCAGTAACATCTCTAACGTTATGGGCTTTAGTTAGGGCTGCTTTGGTCCTGCTCTATGTGGAAGAACCTAAAAAGGGAAGGGAGAAAAAAACCATCACCTACCTTACCACCATCTCCTTCTCCCTCAGCCCAGCCATTACTGGGCAAAAATAGCAAAGAGGAAACAAAGGTTTTGCCTGAGCCCTCTTCTCCAATAAATTGGAAAAAAGGCAAGGGATATGCTATAGCTATGGGACCCTGTCTTAGGCAAGTGGCATTAGAAGGGGAGCTCTTAGCCTGCCTGGAAATGCAAGATCATAAGGCAATCAGGTATATGAACCCATTTCTTTTGACACTTATAAAGAGATAAGAAAAAGCATTAGAGAAAATGGAGCCACTAGCCCATTTACAAGAGGGTTAATTGAGGTCATTCTGCAGACCTCTTTCTAATAATGGCCACTGTTATTATCCCTCCCCTAACCCTGACCTGGCTCTTTCAAGATCCAATTTGGGTAGAACAGTAGCCTTTAAAGGGAGAGAAATTACAAGGCCATGAATTAGTTGAGGAGCAATTAAAAGCTGGCCATATAGAACCATCAAACAGCTCTTGGAATTTGCCCATTTTCATCATTCCCAAAAGGTCTGGCAAGTGGAGACTTTTGCATGACTTATGGGCTATCAATGCTAATTTGCAACCTGTGGAGACCCTTCAACAGGGCCTCCCTTCCCCCATGATGATTCCTCAAGATTGGCCTATAGTCATTATTGACTTAAAAGACTGCTTTTATACTATTCCCCTTGCACAGGACAGAGAAAAATTTGCATTTATAATACCAGCTATCAATAATGAAAGGCCAGCTCACCAATTTCATTGGAAAGTGCTTCCTCAAGGAACGCTAAACAGTCCTACCATGTGTCAGTATCACGTAAACCAGGCTTTGCTCCCCAGTAGAAAAGAATTTTCTAATTGCAGGATTATTCATTTGATGGATGATATTTTACTGGCAGCCCCAACAGAGCCAGTACTTTTAAGTTTGTATGCCTCTGTCATAAAGAATATACAGTTAAGAGGTTTAATCATAGCACCTGAAAAAGTACAAATGTCCTCTCCTTGGAAATATCTTGGATACATACTAAGATATTCCCAGTCAGTAAGACCTCAAAAGGTTAAATACTAGCAGCTTACATACCTTAAATTATTATCAAAAATTACTAGGTGATATTAACTGGCTTCATCCCACCTTGGGCATAACTACTGATAAGTTGCAAAATCTGTTTTCT
The DNA here is from genome assembly GCF_000001405.40 of Homo sapiens. Lineage (NCBI taxonomy): Eukaryota > Metazoa > Chordata > Mammalia > Primates > Hominidae > Homo > Homo sapiens. The sequence goes on from NC_000004.12 coordinate 158,294,888, forward strand.
ATCCTAAAGGGCAATACAGCCCTAGACTTTCCCAGGTATTTAACTACTGCAGCAAAAAGAGAAATTGAGGAAATAGAGCACGCTATTTCTCAGAGGCAACTAGATCTCACAGACCCAAAATATTCAGTTCAATTGTTTGTTTTTCCTACTAAACATTCCCCAACAGGATTAATAGGATGGAGGCCCCAGGGCTACACTTCCTAGAGTGGGTTATTTGCTCACATACAGGGACTAAAACTCTATCTTCCTATATCCAGCTAGTTAATAAAGTCATCTATTCAGGCCACAGATGATGCAATCAGTTGCTAGGTTATGACCCTGATGTCATCAGAATTCCTTTAAGCAAAAAGCAATTTGAAGCAGTATTGCCCCATCTCTAGATTTTCAGATAGCACTCTCTGATTACACAGGCCATATAGAGCATGCCCTTCCTGCTGATAAACTACTTCAGTTCTTATCTTGTACTCCTGTAGTTGTGCCTACAAAAGAAGTTCACTCTCCCATACCTAACACTTTAACGCTTTTTACTGATGGCTCTGGTAAACATGGAAAAGCGGCTATCTGGTGGAAACCACATAATTCCCTCATTCGTTCTGGATTTACTAGCCCTCAGAGAGCTGAGGTTGAAGCCTTAATATTGGCCCTGGAAATTTTTTCCACTCAGACTATCAACATTGTTAGTGATCCTGCTTACTCTGTTTATTTATTGCAGAACCTTAAACCAGCCCTCATTAAGTCCACTCTTGAGCCCACCCTGTGTGCACTTTTTCTGCTACTTCATCAATTGCTAGATCAATGTACACATCCTATTTTTATAACACACATTTGAGCCCACACCTCACTGCCTGGCCTACTAGTTCATGGTAAGAATCAAGCAGGCCTGCAAATTATGATGTCACTACTTGACCAAGCCACCCAATAGCATCAGTTTTTCCACCAAAGTTGGAGAAACTTAACTAAACAATTTCAACTTACCCAAAGACTAGCTAAACAAATTATCCTGCAATGCTCAGATTGCCAGCTCACAGGCACATCCCCCTCCTTCAACAGGTGTTAACCCTAGAGGACTAGAACCTAATCAGTTATGGCAAACAGATGTTACACACATCCCTGAATTTGGAAAACTAAGATATGTACATGTATCCATTGATACCAATTCTCACCTAGTTAGCACACATGCTTTTCCTGGAGAGTCCACTCAATATGTTATTAAACATCTTCTCTTAACTTTTGCTTTTATGGGGCAGCCCACAAAAATTAAAACTGATAATGATCTGGCTTATGCCAGCTCACAATTTCAACAATTTTGTCACACATGAAACATCCAACATTCCGGAGGCATCCCGTATAGCCCCCAAGGACAGGCCATATTAGAATGTGCCCACTCCACTCTTAAAAATATGCCCAGAAAACAAAAAAGGGGGAATATGAGTAAGGACCCTGCAACACTACTAGCACAAGCACTATTTATCCTTAATTTAAAAAATTTAGATGATACATTTCAATCAGCCATAGAAAAGCACTTTGCTAAAACTTCTCAAGACATAAAACCTGCAGATTTATGGAAAGATGTAAATAGTAATGTATGGTGTGGTCCAAATGATTTGCTAAAATGAGGAAGAGGATATGCTTGTGTTCACACCCCCTCAGGTCCTCTTTGGATTCCAGCACAATGCATCAAACCATACCATGGCGGGGCTAGGACCCAACCCGGTACCCGAAATGAAGGAGTTAACCCTACAAGACCCACAGCCCCGGACAATGTGGCTTCCACAGATGACACAAGCCCCAAACATCACCTGGGGGATGCTGAAGAAGATGACTTAGGAGGCTGAGCAAATCCTGCTCTGGACACAGACACCATTCACTCCAGATAATCTGTTCCTTGCTATGCTTTCTGTTGTACATCGCAACTCTTGTAGGACCTTTTTTATTCTCTCACTTTGCCTGCAACCTGTACCTGCTACACTCTATTAAGCCCATCTTCTAAATCCTCCTTTTTTCTGCCCTGTTACTTAGGCAGATACCCCCTTCCCAGCCTCTAATAACATAACTGTTTGGCTGGGAGGGATAGATTTACCCCCAGTGGGGTCCCTCATTAATGGCACACATTGGACTAAGGTGCCAGGTAACAGTACATATCACTCCACTATCTTCCCACTGTGTGTTAGTTATAAAAGTTCTAACCCTTACTGTGTACCTGCCCAAACACAATTATGGCTACATCATGGCAAAGGAAATGCCTTAACAGTCTTAGTTGCAGGTAGCCTCAAACTGGGCCACGCAATTAATGCCACTTTCCCAAACATTCCTCCCTGTGCTAAAGAACAAAGTCAGGAAAGTAATGGATTCCATTTTAGCTGGGAGGTCTGTCACGGGGACAAGCCCATAGTCCCCAGTTAGGCAATTATAACATCTTAGACTGGAGCCCCCACAGCCATTTGCAGGGCGATTGTACTGATGTCCACGTCTATCATGGCATCAATGACAGTTTCATAGCCACGTCCCATTCCCCTATAATTTGGGCCAATAAGGGAATGGGATATCCCAGACCCCACGTAAGGTCCATGCCACCCCAGTACAATTTATGGCACCTGGGACATCTTGGCACCTCCCTTAACACCTGGCATGGGACATATCATAATCCAGTCACAATAATACTATGACCTTTTTTCATAATCACACTGATCAGTGCCTGATTTACACTACCCATCCATATGTTTTCCTTATGTGAGCCAATATTTCTATTACACCCTAAAACTCCTCGTTTGTGACCCGAGTGCAGGGACAGGCTTGGTTCGCCTCTTGTATCACTAATTATAATATATCTAATTTAAATATTACTAGTGTCATGGTACTGAGGAGACAATCTGAGGTTTTCCTACTAGTCAATTTAACATGCAATTGGCAAGGTTCCTCTGCCCTTGCCACCTTAGAACATGCCCTATCCCAGATCAGACACAAAAGATTCAGTTACACTGATAGCCTTTATAGTCTCAGCCATAGTCATCCTAGCAACTGCTAGTGTTGCTATAGCCATCTATTACTGAATCAGTACAAACAGCTACTTTTGTAGATAACTTGGCCAGTAATGTGTCTAATGAACTTCTCTTACAGCAGGGTATAGATCAAAAGATTCTTGCACATCTGCAAGCCCTCAAGGCTTCCTTGGAATATGTGGGGGAGCGACAAGATGCGTTGGCATTTTGACAGCAATTAAACTGTGACTGGGAGCATAAGCATACCTGTGTCACTTCTCTACCTCGGAATCAATTGACACATAGTTGGGATGAGGTGAAACAACACCTCTGGGGAATCTTACAAGATAATTTAACAGCAGACATAAGGCAACTTAAAACTAGAATTTTGGAATCCCTAAATGCCGTAGATCTACACACCCAACAAACAGCCATATGGAAGGATGTGTGAGAACATCTCTCTTGGATAAAACCCCACTCCTGGTGGGGGTCACTCCTTGATTGGAAAAGAATGTTACTGATTATACTCATGTTTGTCTTATGTTATTTACTAATTCTAGGATGCAAAGCCACAACATGAGCAGTGACTTCTGCGCCAGACAAACCTGTTGCTGCACACATCTGTGCTCTTCAATTAACAAAACCTGATGCAAAAAACAACAACAACAACAAAAAAAAAAAAACAAACAGAAAAGGGGTAGATATAGAAGATCAGTCAGGCTGGTGCGAGAAATTATAAGAAAAAGATGCAAACCTTATTGGAAGGCCAGGAGGTTTTGCAAAAGCTTCAAAAGAGGATTTGGCTGAAGGCAGCTGAATTCTCTCAGGGTAGATAACAAGGAAGTGCAAGGGAATTGATTTAGATAAGTTAGTTTGCTTAGGCCTTGGAACCTGGCCTTTAATCATCCGCACACAGGACTGCTCTCTGGGGAATGGTGGGGTGGTGAGGGAGGGCGTGACCATGTTAATTACCCACAAGTTGTGTTGACTCAAAGCTTTTGTCATTAAATCTGTACTAAATAAATGCCCACAGCACCGGCTTGTCAGGGCTGTGGCTGCTGTGACTCTTTATGGCACCCTCCTCAGTGTCTGTGAGCCGCCTGGTCCCCTAGCCACCGGCCCAGGCAAAAAATCTGTGTCTGCATACATTTGTTCGTCTGTCGCTCCACCAGCGTCTGCAGGTCAGACCCTGCAGGCATGGTGGCTCATGCCTGTAATCCCAGCACTTTGGGAGGCCAAGGCAGGTGGATCATCTGAGGTCAGGAGTTTGAGACCAGCCTGCCCAACATGGTGAAACCCCATCTCTACTAAAAATACAAAAATTTAGCCAGGCGTGGCAATGTGGAACTGTAATCCCAGCTACTTGGGAGGCCGAGGCAGGAGAATCGCTTGAACCTGGAAGGTGGAGGTTTCAGTAAGCCAAGATCGTGCTATTGCACTCCAGCCTGGATGACAAGAGGGAAACTCTGTCTCACAAAACCAAACCAAACCAAACAAAACAAAAAAATACAGGCAAGCTCAGAGAGTACTGTAATAAATATTTCTCTATCCAACATGCAGAATGAACAAAGGTTAATGTGTAACTTTTGTTTCAGATGTTTTCATATAAAGTAGATGTAAGACTTGGTGAAAATAGGGTTATCTTGCAGCTGGACTGAAACAGCACTATGCTTATCTGCAGGGATGCACGGAAGTCTGGTATGACCCTTGGCCAAAGTAGGATTAGGTATACTAGTTAATGATTTATATTATGCTGTTTAAAAACTGAAACTCTTTTGGAAGGACTCTGTACTAACTAGCTTACTTAGTTTAAAAATATATAAATTACTGGTTTGCACCTAGTTTGACCAATTTTACAGCCTGGCTTTAGCTGTGTGGCTCGGAGTATATGAAAGACCTCTCTACATATTTATTTCCTGGGCTCCCCTAAAACTAGGATAGCCTGTGCATATCTTGATGGTTCATTATCTGAAGTTGACATATGCTGTGCAACTGAAAAAGGGCCCTAGGGCTGTGTCTGGTAGTTTTCAGACCTCCCTATGATTGCTTGCACTTTCTTTCTACGTTTGTGTTGAGCCGTATTTTTTACCTTTACCATCTGTTTGTTGTTGCTATATAGAAATGCAATTGCTTTTGGTACATTTATTTTGCATCCAAGAAAATTGACCAGCTCATAATTTCTAAAATAGAGCTACAAATCTTTGGGATTTTCTAACTACACGCACATATCATCAGTACATAATATTTTTTATTTTTAATCCCTGTTTTTTTTTATTGCACTGAATAGAAATTCCAGGAAAATGTTAAACAAAGTGACGTTAGCAGTTACTGTTGTCTTTTTCCTGTTGTTAAAAGGAATGCTTTCGATATGTCACCATTATTTATGGTGTTTACCTTTTAACAGATTAAGGAATTTCACTTTGTACTTGATTTTTGTTTGAGGTTTTGCTGTTCCTTTTTAATCTTAAATACTTCTTGTATTTTATAAATTCTTTTTCTGTATCAGAAATAATGACATGATTTTACTTTTTTATTCTTTTAGTATGGCAAATTACATTAATTTTCTAGTGTTAAACACCTTCTTGGGGAATAAGCTCAATTTGTTGTGCATATGTATATGTACACATACATACACACACATTGATTTATATATATTGCTACATTCAATGTATTAATATTTCTGTTTAATATTTTTGCATTTTAATAGACAATGTGACTTGTGATTTTCCCTCTTCCTAGTGTACTCAGTAATTATCAAGAGAATACTAAAATATATTTCAGGTGCTCCTCATTGCATCTGATGGTTTAGTGCCTATCCTCTGCTATTCTAGAATTCTACCATTTGCGTTGCGAGTCAGGAGCCTAGTTCTTTCTATAACAGCTCCAACCGTTCTCTCTAACAGAGAAAACAGCCATTACTGATGTAACCAATGATCCTCATGTCCCACTTCACAGTAGATTCTTACTGACTTTGTGAGCAGAATGTCCTCTAGGTCTTCCTGAGGAAAATATTAGCATTCCCAATTCTCTGAACCTATCCCTTCCTTCGCAACTGGCCACAACAGCTCTTTGCCTTTTCTTTGATTGCAGGTCATACCTCACAGGCTTCTGGGTGCCAATCTAGAAAGTATTACCACAGCTCATGCCTGAGTGTTAAAAACTGTGTCACATAGAATGCTCCCTATTGACAAACTTTCCTTTGTTTAGCAGAAGCCCTCAAGACAGTGTCATCCAACACAAGGTAACCATATTCTGCACTTCCTTTGTCCTACAATATTTCCTCCTTTGACAGCCCCATCACATCCCTCATCAAGATAAGCTGAGATTTGACTTGCTATGGTTTTGTTGGTCAGTGGTGAATATGAGGGCCGATTGCTTTTTGACAAGCATTGTTTTTGAGACTTCTATTCTGGAACATGAGAGAATTTACCACTCTGCAAAAGATTCAAGGGAAGCTGGATTCAAGGTTCTCAAATGCATCACCTTAGGTCTCAAGTTTCAGGGTTTCACTCCTTCCCTAGCAGTGTCCTCGCTTCAGCATGGGAGACTTACCAACACTGAAAATTCAGCCTCCCTTGAAGCCTCTTCCACTTCTACAATTAAGTCCTGGGCCTAAATCATCAGCTCTGTTGGCCCTCTGGCTGTGGAAGATGAGAGTTTCGTGAAACACTTTCAAAAAGTCCTTTGAATGTCACTCTAAACTTTAAGTTCTTAATATATGTAAGCCTGTCATTTTCTCTTTTCAACAAATCATTTGCGATTAGCAGCAGACATCCAACTCCATAGTCCTTATAGTTATGATTTCCCCAATCTTCTCAAATGCTCAAGAAACTATACTGTCTCATGTATCTTCTTTCATCTGTATCCCATCCCAGCTCACCACAGGGGAAAGTCTTAGCAATCTTACTGGTCCAACATGCTAGTCACTATTAATATTCCACCTACCACCAGTAACTGGATCTTTTTTGTAATCCAGCTGAGAAGAGTCAAATCCTACCCTAATGGTCTGTTTCATAGGCCCACTCCTGGCACACAACTATCCAAGATGTGGTTCCCTAGAAGCAGAGCCTGAGAAAAGGATTCTTGTTCAAAATTTATTCAGGGAGTGGAGAAGGAGAGGAAAGAACGAGCTTAGGGGAGGGAAACACAAATGAAGTGAAAATAAAGTTTCAGATGGAGACTGTTTTCAACCTGATCTTACAAGTGAGCTCTAAGCACAAGTCACCCCCACAGAGTTGGTTACCCTTGAGATAAGAAGACTGGCTTTTTATACCCTCTTGTCATTCAGACATTGGCTGAGGGCTGTCCCTGGAGGATGGTGCATAACTTTCCAGGTGATCTGCATACCATCATCTCAGGGCATTTCTTCAGAGAGGAAGAGCAGTTATGAGCTGTTAGTAGCTAATAGCCCCTGGGGCATGGGCGTACTGGCCAAATGAAAGGAATCTGGGCAAGGCATTGCAGCATATTTTATGGCCACACTTCAGAACTGGGTTACAAAAAGTGGCTACCTCTTCTATAATCAGGAAGTCACTTGTTTCAGAACCACCCTTTCACAGCTATAATTTGTCACTACAATAAGCAAAGGACCATACACAAGGAACCAGCATAATCAGAAAATCACTGTAATTCTGCTATCAGTGTCTCAAGATCTAAGCCAAATTGTTCCAATCTACATTAAAAAAAAAAATAGATGCTCTCCACCCTGCCTTTCAATATGCATGAAAAAGTAGCACATGGTCCCTGAGGCCTCTGCCAAAATTCCAGAAAGAGGAAGAATGTTCTACAACTTTGCTTGCCAAAAGGAGCAAAACCAGCATATCCTGATCCTGCATGAGCACATCTGATTGTTTCTGAATCATGCTGGAATTTCACTTCAAGGAGCCTGGGAACCGTGCTTTAATGCTCCTATACAGTTCTCATTCAAGAAGTCACACCAGAAGGAGAGAGAAATGGATGGTCAGCCCCAGTCCACCAAATACATCTCCATCCACTCTTTTGTTATTCAGCATCTCTCAATATTAAAACTTGCAAACAAAGATATTAGCACCAACAAGAGGCTAACACCTAAATTAATGTGACTTATGCCTCTGAAACATATCCTCTTAGTCTTCATATGACCAAAAATATCTTAATTTTACCTTAATTCTCAGGTTATAGTTTAGCTGCATAGAATTATAGGTTGATAGTGATTTTGCTTCAGAACATAGAAACTACGGTTTCACTGTTTTGAAATATTCAGTATAGCTACTGAGAAATCAGCTGCCAGTCTAACTTTCATGCCTGTATAGGTTTTCTGTTTTTTTCTGTCTGGTTTAAACTAAGTTTTGTTTTGATTTGTTTGTTTGTTTGTTTGATATTCTGCAATGTTGCTTTGGGTTTTCTAGGTATAATTCATTTTTGCTTTTCCCATTAGATCTTAATATACTCCTTCAACTTGAGACCCATCTTCAGTTCTGGGATGGTCTGAGCCATTATCTCTGTTAGCACCTCCCTTGACCTAATTCTCTTTTTTTTCTTTTTCCCTGGAATTTTATCAGCATTTATCAATGGAATTCTTTTATTTTATTCTCTATGGATGTTTCATATTTTTCATCTCTGATTTATTTCTTGGTGTTTTTCTCTTTAATTTTCCAATTCAGTAATTATTCTTCATTGATTTCTTCTGATCAATCTTTTAGTCGCATTGTTAAAACTTCAGTTTCTGTAAATTTTACTATTCTTAAAGTTTCCTCTTTAGTTTGTTTTCAGACTTACCTATTCTTTTATATGTTGCCTAGTTGTTACCCCTATGGTCTGCCAGATATTTTTGTGCCTGCAACATTTGTGCAAACTCTTCCATTTATTGCTTTACCTGACTCGTTCAAGTCATGTGTTCCTTCAAGTTGTTTACCTGCAGACATAGTGCCCACTACTAATCCTTATTGCCTTGTCAGGCCCTTACATCCCATGTTATTCATTGCCCTGAGTTTTAATTTCCTCTCCATTTATTTGTCCAATGATTCTCCTTTTTGGGGGAGTTCAAGTATATATTTCAGGGTTTTTTGCTTTTTTTGTTATATTTTCTTTCTAAATTTATATGTTGAAATTGAGAAGGATTTCTCACATCTTCTCAGTCTGTCATAGCAACAAAAAGTATTCTGACATTGATTTGTTTTCCATACACTAAAGAAGAAACAAAAAGCAGTTTCAGCATCTCTCTGGTAATTTAATGAAATGAAATTATTTGCAATAAGGCACTGTTTAAGATGACCTTACCTTGTCACTTTGCAGGGAGGAGATGGATGCTACCCGGAGAAGATGGAGAGAGAATCCATTACACCTCACTTCCCATTAATATGCCCTCAGTTGTTACTGGTACAATCAAACTTGCAAGAGGAGGTTAAAATATATCTGTCAATGTCAAACATATTTGCAGTTAGAATGCAGATATGCTATTTTGGTATATAAAATAATTTCTTTTTATTATATAACCAAGGTCTTTGGTAAATAAAAAGCTAATGCAAATAAGCCCAGTTGCTGAAATATATATCTCTAATAACTTGAAAATATATTTCTCATGGAGAATTGCTTCAGCATCTTTTCATGTTTCGGCACTTTATCTCATCCTCCTCTCCATCCTCCTCAGTCAACACAAAAGTGGCCCCATGCAAAGTTGCTTCATCGCCACAGAACCTTGTCTTCTCAGTCTCACAATGGCAGCTGATCAAGACAAAGCAGGCAACCACAGAATGTGATGAGTGAAGGTGCCAATTGCAGGGCCACTGGGTGCTTAATGGGACTCCACTGAGATTCTCCCCTGGCATTACGTTGTCTGAAGCTGAGAAGTATGGCCATCACAGATGGGCAGAGAACCCTCTAAGGTATAGAAACCCAAGGAAGGGGGCCAGTGAAAGGTTTTCTTCCACATGATATCAAGTGGTCATTATTATTTTCCCCTTCAAAAAAGAGAAAGAGTAAATAAGTTAGACCATCATGGTCCTAAGAGTTCCTTCTACCAGTTAGTCGTATGTGTGCAGCAAGTTAATACAGTACTAAGGTTTTGAATTACAGAGGGTTTCCCTTCTCATTTTCTATTCTGATGAAGTGTTATTTATTCTTTGTAACAGTCAACTATCTCTTTTCTAATATTCTAAAACTGCCATACTAGGATGAAATAAAGCTATTAGCACATACAAGGAACAGAAGATTACTGTTCCAAAATTATTTTCTTTGTATTGACACCAACCAGTTACAGACCTACTGTGGATCTGCTGACAGTCAATAAAAATATTAACAAATATGGTTTAGCACTCTTTATAAAATACTAAATTAAGAAAACCACCAACACAAATGCCTTGGAAAGTAAAATGACAGTGTTTTTGTTTTGCTTAATATTAACCATTACCTAAAGAATTAAGTAATCTTTTTAAAAAATTTCAATTTTTATTTTAGATACAAGGAGCACATGTGCAGGTTTATTACATGGATATATTGTATAATGCCAGGGTTTGGGGTACAGATTCTGTCACCCAGGTAGTGAGCATAGTACCCAATAGGTAGTTTCTCAACCCACTCTCCCCTCCCTCCTTCCTGCCTCTAGTAGTCTGCAGTGTCCATTGTTCCATTGTTGCATTGAGCACATGCCTATGTGTGCTCAGTGTTTGGCTCACTTGGAAGTGAGAATATGTGGTATTCGCTTTTCTGTTCCTGCATTAGTTTGCTCAGGATAATGACCTCCAGCTGCATCTATATTGCTGCAAAGGGTACGATTTTGTTATTTTTTTGTTGTTCTTTTTTTTTTTTTTTTTTTTTTTTGAGACAGAGTCTCGCTCTGTCACCCAGGCTGGAGTGCAGTGGCATGATTTTGGCTCACTGCAAGCTCCGCCTCCCAGGTTCATGCCATTCTCCTGCCTCAGCCTCCTGAATAGCTGGGACTACAGGCACCCACCACCACACGTGGCTAATTTTTTTCATATTTTTAGTAGAGACAGGGTTTCACTGTGTTAGCCAGGATGGTCTCTATCTCCTGACCTCGTGATCTGCCCTCCTCGGCCTCCCAAAGTGCTGGGATTACAGGCGTGAGCCACCTGTGCCCAGCCAATTTTGTTCTTTTTTATGGCTGTGTAGTATTCCCCAGTATATATGTGCCACATTATCTTTATCCAGTCTACCCATTGATGTGCACCTAAGTTGATTCCATATCTTTGCTATTGTGAATAGTACAACATATGAGTGATTGTGTCCTTTTGGTAGAATGATTTATTTTCCTTTGAGTATATAACCAGTAATAGGATCACTGGGTCAAATTGTAGCTCTGTTTTAAGTTCTTTGGAAATCTCCAGATTGCTTTCTGCAGTGGCTGCACTAATTTACACTCCTACCAACAGTGTGTAAGCATTCTCTTTTCTCTGCAGCCTCACCAAATATGATTTTTTTCTTCTTTTTTACTTTTTAATAATAGCCATTCTGACTGGTATGAGATGGCATCTCATTGTGTTTTTGATTTGCATTTCTGTGATAATTAGTGATGTGAAGCATTTTTTCATATGTTGGTGGGCCATTTGTATGCCTTCTTTTGAAAAGTGTCTGTTATGTTCCTTGTCCATTTTTTTTTATTATACTTTAAGTTCTGGAATACATGTGCAGAATGTGCAGGTTTGTTACATAGGTATACATGGGCCATGGTGGTTTGCTGCACCTATCAACCCATCATCTACATTAGATATTTCTCCTAATGCTATGCCTCCCCTAGACTCCCACCCAATGACAGGCCCCAGTGTGTGATGTACCCCTCCCTGTGTCCATGTGTTCTCATTGTTCAACTCCCATTTATGAGTGAGAACATGTGGTGTTTGGTCTTCTGTTCTTGTGTTAGTTTGCTAAGAATGACGGTTTCCAGCTTCATCCAAGTCCCTGCAAAGGACATGAACTCATCCTTTTTTATTGTTGCATAGTATTCTATGGTGTATATGTGACACATTTTCTTTATCCAGTCTATGATTGATGGGCATTTGGGTTAGTTCCAAGTCTTTACTATTGTGAATAGTGCTGCAATAAACATACTTGTGCATGTGGCTTTATAAAATGATTTATAATCCTTTGGGTATATGCCCAGTAATGGGATCACTGGGTCAAATGGTATTTCTGGTTCTAGATACTTGAGGAATTGCCACACTGTCTTCCATAATGGTTGAACTAATTTATACTCCCACCAACAGTGTAAAAGTGGTCCTATTTCTCCACATCCTCTCCAGCATCTGTTGTTTCCTGACTTTTAGTGATCACCATTCTAACTGACATGAGATGGTATCTCATTGTGGTTTTGATTTGCATTTCTCTGATGACCAGTGATGATGAGCTTTTTTTCATATGTTTGTTGGCCACATAAATGTCTTTTTTTGAGAAGTATCTGTTCATATCCTTAGCCCAGTTTTTGATGGGGTTGTTTTTTTCCTTGTAAACCTGTTTATGTTCTTTGCAGATGCTGGATATCAGCCCTTTGTCACATGGATAGATTGTAAAAATTTTCTCTCATTCTGTAGGTTGCCTATTCACTCTGATGATAGTTTCTTTGCTGTGCAGAAGCTCTTTAGTTTAATTAGATCCCATTTGTAAATTTTGGCTTTTGTTGCCATTGCTTTTGGTGTTTTAGTCATGAAGACTCTGTCCATGCCTATGTCCTGAATGGTATTGCCTAGGTTTTCCTCTAGGGTTTTTGTGGTATTAGGTCTTACGTTTATGTCTTTAATCCATCTTGAATTAATTTGCATATAAGGTGTAAGGAAGGGGTCCAGTTTCAGTTTTCTGCATATGGCTAACCAGTTTTCCCAGCACCATTTATTAAATAGGGAATCCTTTCCCCATTGCTTGTTTTTGTCAGGTTTGTCAAAGATCATAATTCATCACATAAACAGAACCGATGATGAAAACCACGATTATCTCAATAGATGCAGAAAAGGCCTTTGATAAAATTCAACAGTCCTTCATGCTAAAAACTCTCAATAAACTAGGTATTGATGGAACGTATCTCAGAATAATAACAGCTATTTATGACAGACCCACAGCCAATATCATACTGATTGGGCAAACCTGGAAGCATTCCCTTTGAAAACTAGCACAAGACAAGGATGCCCTCTCTCACCACTCCTATTCAACATAGTATTGGAAGTTCTGGCCCCAGCAATCAGGCAAAAGAAAGAAATAAAGCGTATTCGAATAGGAAGAGAGGAAGTCAAATTGCCTCTGTTTGTAGATGACATGATTGTATATTTAGAAAACCCCATCATCTCAGCCCAAAATCTCCTTAAGCTGATAAGCAACTTCAGCAAAGTCTCAGGATACAAAATCAATGTGCAAAAATCACAAGCATTCCTATACACAAATAATAGACAAACAGAGAGCCAAATCATGAGCAAACTCCCATTCACAATTGCTACAAAGAGGATAAAATACCTAGGAATACAACTTACAAGGGATATGAAGGATGTCTTTGAGGAGAACTACAAACCACTGCTCAAGGAAATAAGAGAAGACATAAACAAATGGAAAAACATTCCATGCTCATGGATAGGAAGAATCAATATCATGAAAATGGCCATACTGCCCAAAGTCATTTATAGATTCAATGCTATCCCCATCAAGCTACCATTGACTTTCTTCACAGAATTAGAAAAAAAAACCTTACATTTTACATGAAACCAAAAAAGAGCTCGTATAGCCAAGACAATACTAAGCAAAAAGAACAAAGCTGGAAGCATCATGCTATCTGACTTCAAACTATACTACAAGGCTATAATAACCAAAACAGCATGGTACTGGTACCAAAACAGATAAATAGACCAATGGAACAGAACAGAGGCCTCAGAAATAACGCCATACATCTTTGCCCATTTTTAATGAGGTTATTTTTTGCTTATTGATTTAAGTTCCCTATAGTTTCTGGATATTAGGCCTTTGTTGCATGCATAGTTTGCCAATAACTTCTCCCATGTTATTTTGTTTATTCTGTTGATCATTTATTTTGCTGTGCAGAAGCTGTTTAGTTTGATTAGGTCCTATTTGTCTATTTCTGATTTTGTTACAATTGCTTTTGGGGACTTAGACAAAAATTATTTGCCAAGACCAATGTCAGAAAGAGTATTTTCTAATTTGTCTTCTAGAATTTTTTTTTCCTTTTTTTGTTTGACACTTCAAGTCTGAGTTTTCTAGGATTTTTATAGTTTGAAGTCTTACATTTAAATCTTTGATCCATTTTGAGGTAATTTTTGTATATGCTGAAAAGTAGGGGTCCATTGTCAATCTTCTGCCTATAGCTAGCCAGTTATCCTAGCACCATTTATTCAGTAGGGAGTCCTTTCGTCATTACTTGTTTTTGTTGGCTTTGTCAAAGGTCATATGGTTATAGGGTGTGCAGCTTTATTTCTGAGTTTTCTATTCTGTTCCATTGGTCTATGTGTCTGTTTTTGTACTAGTATCATGCTGTTTTGGTTAATGTAGACTTATAGTATAGTTTGAAGTTGGGTAGTATGATACCTCCAGCTTTGTTCTTTTTGCCTGGGATTGCTTTGGGCTCTTTTTTGGTTCCATATGAATTTTAGAATAGTTGTTCCTAATTCTGTGAAGAATGGCATTGGTAGTTTGATAGGAATAGCATTAAATCTGTAATAGCATTAAATAATACTGCTTTGGGCAGTATGGCCATTTTAAAAATATTGATTTGTCCAATCCATGAGCACAGAAAGTTTTTCCATTTATTTGTGTTGTCTATGATTTCTTTCAGCATGTTTTGTAGTTCTCCTTGTTGAGACCTTTCACCTCATTGGTTAGCTGTATTCTTAGGTATTCCATTTTCTTTGTGATTATTGTAAGTAGGATTGTGTTCTTGATTTCACCCACAGCCTGGACATTGTTGTTGTATAGAAATGCTACTGATTTTTGTACATTAATTTTGTACCCTGAAATCTTACTAAAATCATTTATCAGTTTTAGGAGACTTTTGGCTGAGTCTTGAGGATTTTCTAGGTATTTTTTTTTTTAGGATTTTCTAGGTATTTCCTAGGTATTTTTCTAGGTATTCTAGGTATAGGATTTTCATGTCATCACCACAAAAGAGGTAGTTTGACTTCTTCTTTTCCTATTTGGATGCCATTTATTTCTCTTGCCCTATTGCTCTGGCTAGGACTTCCAATACTCTGTTGAATAGAAGTTGTCAGAGTGGGCATTCTTGTCTTGTTCCAGTTCTCAAGTGGAATCGTTGGAGCTTTTGCCCATTCAGTATGATATTGGCTATGGGTTTGTCTCTTAGATGTTTGGCTCTTATTATTTTGAGGTATGTTCTTTCAATGTCTTTTCCGTTACTGGTTTGTTTTTTTTTTTTACATTAGGAATCAATGTTGCATTTTAGCAAAAGCTTTTTCTGCATCTATTGAGATGATCATAAGGTTTTTGCTTTTAATTATGTTTATGTAGTGAATCACATTTATTGAATCATGTATGTTGAACTAGCCTTGCATCCCATCAGTAAAGCCTACTTGAACATGACATATTAACTTTTTGGTGTGCTGCTAAATTTGGTTTCCTACTATTTTGTTGAGGACTTTTGCATCTATGTTCATATGTTCATCAATAATATACGCTGTAGTTTTGTTTTGTTTTGTTTTGTTTTGTTTTGTTTTTGGTTGGATCTCTGCCTGGTTTTGGTGTCAGGATAATACTAGCCTCACAGAATGAGTTGGGAAGGAGTCCTCAACCTCAATTTTTTGGAATAGTTTTAGCAAGATTGGTATAAGTTTTTCTTTGTACTTTTAGTAGAATTTGGCTGTGAATCCATCTGGTGCAGGGGTTTTTTTGGTTGGTAGATTCTTTATTACCAGTTCAGTTTCAGAAGTTGATGATGGTCTATTTAGGGTTTCAATCTCTTCCTGATTCAATCTTGGGAGATTGCGTGCTTCTAGGAATTTGTCCATTTCCTCCAGATATTCTAATTTGTGTGCATATTATTGTTCATAGTAGTCTCTGAGGACCTTTTGTATTTCTGTGAGATCAGTTGTAATACTGCTTTTGTCATTTCTGATTGTGTTTATTTGTATCTTCTCTGTTTTCTTTGTTAATCTAGCTAGGAGTTTATCAATCTTAATTTTTTTTTTTTTTTTTTTTTGGAGAACCAACTCTTGGTTTCATTAATCTTTTGTATGAATTTTGGCATCTCAATTTCATTAAGCTCTTCTCTAATTATAGCTATTTCTTTTCTTCTGCTAGTTTTGGGGTTAGTTTGTTCTCTTTTTTCTACCTCTTTTAGGTGCAAATTTAGATTGCTAATTTGATATCTTTCTAACTTCTTGATGAAGGCATTTAGTGTTATAAACTTTCCTTGTAGCACTGCTTTGGCTGCATCCCAGACATTTTGGTAAGTTGCATTCCCATTTTCATTAATCTCAAATAATTTTTTTTATTTCTGCCTTAAATTTGATGTTCACCCAGGAATTATTCAGGAGTAAATTAATTTCCATGTATTTTTGTAGTTTTGAGGGATCTTGATATTGATTTCCATTTTTATTGCACTGTGATCCAAGAATGTGCTTGGTACAATTTTGAATTTTCTGAATGTATTGAGACTTGCTTTATGACCAAGCATGTGGTTGATCTTAGAATATTTTCCATGTGCAGATGAGAATAATATATATTCTGTGGTGGTTGGGTGGAGTGTTCTGCAAATGTCTGTTAGATCCAATTGATCAAGTGTCAAGTTTAAGTACAGTGTTTGTTAGTTCTCTGCCTCAGTGATCTGTCTAATGCGGTCAGTGGGGTGTTAAAGTCTCCCACTATTATTGTGTGGTTTTTCTAAGTCTTTTTGTATGCCAGGAAAAACTTGTTTTATCAATTTGGGTGCTTTAATGTTGGGTGTGTACATATTTCAGTTAATTAAGGCTTCTTGTTGGATTGTAGCCTTTATCATTATGTAATACCCTTCATTGTCCTTCTTAATTTTTATTGGCTTAAAGTCTGTTTTGTCTGATACAAGGGTAGTAACTCTTGCTCTTTTTTGTTTTCCATTTGCATGGTAGATTTTTTTTCCATCCTTTAAATTTGAGCCTGTGGGTGTTATTACATGTGAAATGGGTTTCTTGAAGATAACAGATCATTGGATCTTGTCTTTTTATCCAACTTGCCACTCTGTGTCTTTTAAGTGGGGAGTTTAGCCCATTTACATTCTAGATTAATACTGGTGAGTGATTTTGATACTATCATCATCTGGTTGTTATATAGACTTGATTGCGTAGTTACTTTATAGTGCCTGTGAGCTATGTGCTTAAATGTGTTTTCTGGGGTAGCAGGTGTTATTCTTTCAATTCCATGTTTAGCACTCCCTTAAGGATGTCTTGTAAGGCTGGTCTAGCTGAAAAATATTCCATCAGCATTTGCTTGTCTCAGAAGGATTTTATATCTCCTTCACTTATGAAGCTTAGTTTGGTGGGATATGAAATTCTTGGTTGGAATTTCTTTTCTTTAATAATGCTGAAACCCCCAATCTCTTCTGGCTTGTAAAGTTTCTGCTGATAGGTCTGCTGCTAAACTGATGGGGTTCCTTCTGTAAGTCCTGCCCCTTTTCCCTAGCTGATTTTAAGGCTTTTTTGTTTTGTTTTGTTTTTTGATATTGACTTTGCTGAATCTGATGATTATGTGCCTTGAGAATAGTCATCTCATATAGAATCTAACTGAGGTTCTTTGTATTTTCTGGATGTTAATTTCAACCTCTCTGGTGAGATTAGGGAACTTTTTGTAGACTATTTCCTCAAATATATTCTCTAAGTTGTTTATTCTGTCTCAGTAATGCCAATGAGTCATGGGTTTGGTCTCTTTACATAATCCCATATTTCTGAGGTTTTTTTCATTTTTCTTAATTATTTTATCCTAATTTTTGTCTAAATTTATTAGAAGAACCAGTCTTCAAACTCTGAGATTATTTTCTGAGATTGGTCTATTTTGCTGTTAATATTTCTGATTGTACTAAAAAAATTCTTGCAGTGAATTTTTCAGCTCAAGTTTAGTTTGGGTCGTTCTTAAAATGGCTGTGCTGTCTTTCAGCTCTTGAATTATTTTATTGGATTGCTTGGCTTCCTTGGATTGAGTTTCAACTTTTTCCTGGATCTTAATGAGCTTCCCTGTTACCCAGATTCTGAATTCCATGTCTGTCATTTCAGACATTTCAAACTAGTTAAGAACCATTGCTGGGGAGATAGTGGACTCCTTTGGTGGTAAGGGGACACTCTGGCTTTTTGAATTGCCAGAGTTCTTGTGCTGATTCTTTTTCAACTTGGAGGGTTGGCACTCCTTTAACTGTGGTATAAGTTGAGTTTAGTCAGTTGGTTTTGTTTCTGGAAGTTTTCAGAGGACTAAGGCTACATACAAGGTCTTTGTTGTTGAATTCTTGTCCTTAGTTTCACAGGAAGGAAAATTAGCAAAATGTTTTTTGGTGGTGTAGTTTTTGGGCTGTCATTCAATAAATGGCACTTGAGAGCAAGGAGCATAGACAGGCTCTTGCTAAGCCATGTGGCTCCTTTGTGTATCCTCACATTTGAAGCTGTGCTCTGCAGTGGGAGGGGAAAGAGGTGACCCCCTCATCAGACTTGCTCCTGAGCAGTTAGGAGCCACTTCCAATCACTGGCACAGTGCCTGCAATTTTTGTTGTGTTGTTAGGTGTTTCCAGCTGTGTTGCTCCCTTAGGGCTATGTCCAATAGGGGAATGGGCCACACTCTTACTGGACCAGTCCTGTGAAAGGCGGCACACCTAGGACCCATACCAGACTGCAAACCCATACAACTCGCCAGTCTCAATTTTCTGAGAGCGTAGGCTTCTCCCCACTCAAGTGCTGAGCACAGATCTTGGCTTGGCACTTCCAAGATGCAGGCCACAGCTCCGAGTCACCAGGACCTGGTCATGGCTCCCTCCGGAACCTCAGGGTTGGGTTCCAGATGTGTTGTGGGATCCAAAGCCCTCCCAGACTGCTGAAACACACTCAGGTAGAACAAACACCCAGGATGGGCAGTGGAGGCTCCACTGTGTACACACTCTTATGGGGCAGCCAGGCAGGGACCCTCAGAAGGGCTGGTGGGCAGGTGGGCCCACAGGACAGGCATGACCTAGTCCTGTGGGGAAGCAGGCCCTGCTTTTTCCCCAGCAGTTAGCTGGTGGCAGAGCCTCTCAGAGGGAGACTGAGAGCCCTGGAGGATGGATGTTTATGGCTGGGTTCCCCCAGAGCAGTCTTGTGCACAAAGGTCCCCAGGTCTGTACCTGCTGGAGCTCCATCTCTATCTAATCTCTGGGAAGATCCCCTGCCAGCTCAAATGTCCATGGGTGGCATGGGGTTGCCTGCAGCTAGGATCTCAGAGGACCAGGGTGAGAGTGAGCAGTCCCCTAGTCCCTTTACTCACCCTTTCCCCAGGAGCCATTTAGGGCCAGAAACCAGCCCCAGTGTTCAGGTACCCCATGAGAGCTTCCCAGCTTCTCCCTCTTCAGCCTCATCAACTGCATCTTATCTCCATCCACATTCAGCATTTTGTCTCCAAAGATTTGTTCAAATGTTGTTGTTTTAGTCAAAATCCCCATCTTTCTCTGTGAGAACTGCACTTCCCAGCTGCATCTAGTCAGCCATCTTGAGATTTCTCCCAATTAATCTTTTAGAAACAAAATTATGCCCTGACTGAGAGTGGAACACCAGGAATTTTTCTTGTGTTTTTCTCTATCCTAAAAGAAAGCTTTGAAGTAACTATTTTCTCTATTCTGGGGAAAACACTAAAATTTGAACATGGGCCACTTACAGATGTTTTAGAGAATATGTGTGGTCTTCAAAAATGCAATTTGAATATGTGTTTCAACTAAGCTATAACTCTGCTGCTTGTTTTCAAGATTGTTTTTTCTAAGTGGATTTAGCCATAATGTGACTCTATACTAAATTTCATCTTCTTGAAATGTGTGCATGTGATTAGCCAAGAAATTTCTTAATAGACATATTTCAGAGGCTGAGTCCTCTACTTGATTATTTATTCAAGCTGGAAGAAAAACTTCAAGAAAACACTGGACTGGGTTTGGCTACATTTAGCATGCATGACTCACAGATTGTTCTAGATAGAGTAATAGAATTGTTCACATGCCAAACACTATTCTAGTTTCTGGATTCAGTGTTTTAGTCTTAAACTTGGTCTCAAGGGGCCTACTTTCCATTGAGAGAGAGAAAATAAATAAGTAAACAAATGAACATGAACAGAAAAAGAATGTCAAATAGCTCTAAGGTCTATGAAGACAAGCAGACAGATAATGTAATGGCAGAACGATAGACGGAAGTAACAGGATATTTAAATTGAATAGAAAGGGAAGGCCTTTTCTGAAGACAGGCTATTGAGCTCAGGCTTAACTGTCAAGAAGCCAACTCTAAAAAGCTCCAGTAGAACATTCCAAGCAAAGGGAACCACAAGA